>NC_000010.11:17282727-17434242 GCF_000001405.40 Homo sapiens
GCCTAGATTTCAGAGGATGTATGGAACCTCCTGGATGTCCAGGCAAAAATTTGCTGCAGGGTCGGAGCCTTCATGGAGAAACTCTGCTAGGGCAGTGCAGAAGGGAAATGTGGGATTTTTGCCCCCACCGAGTCCCCACTGGGCCACCACCTAGTGGAGCTGTGAGAAGAGAGCCACTGTCCTCCAGACTCCAGAATGGTAGATCCACTGACAGCTTGCAGCATGCACCTAGAAGCCACAGACACTCAATGCCACCTGTGGAAGCAGCTGAGGTGGGGGACGATACCCTACAAAGCCACAGAAGCAAAGCTGCCCGAGGCCATAGGAGCTCACCTCTTGCATCAGCATGACCTGGATGTGAGACATGGAATCAAAGGAAATCATTTTGGAGCTTTAAGATTTAATGATTTCCTTGATGGATTTCAAACTTGCATGGGGCATGTAGCCCTTTTGTTTTGGCCAATTTCTCCCATTTGGAACAGGAGAATTTACCCAAGTCTTGTGCTCCCATCATATCTAGGAAGTAACTAACTTTCTTTTGATTTTACAGGCCCGTAGATGGAAAGGACTTACCTTGTCTCAGATGAGACTTTGGACTTGGACTTTCGGGTTAATGCTGGAAAGAGTTAAGATTTCGGGGGACTGTTGAAAAGGTATGATTGCATTTTGAAATATGAGGACATGAGATTTGGGAGGGGCCAGAGGCAGAATGATATGGTTTGACTGTGCCCCCCACCCAAAATCTCATCTTGAATTATAATCCACATATGTCAAGAGCAAAACCTGGTGGAGGTAATTGGATTATGGGAGCAGTCTTCACCATACCCTTCTAGTGATAAGGAATGAGTCTCATGAGATCTGATGGTTTTATAGGCATCTGGCATTTCCCCTGCTTGTACACATTCCATCCTGCTGCCCTGCGAAGAAGGTGCCTGCTTCTCCTTTGCCTTCCATCATAATTGTAAGTCTCCTGATGCCTCTCCAGCCATGTGGAACTGTGAATCAATTAAACCTCTTTCCTTTATAAACTAGTCAGTCTCAGGTATTTCTTCATAGCAGTGTGAGAAACAACTAATAGAGATAGAGAAAGAGAGATGGTAGAGATAAATGGATAGATAGGATGATAGATGATAGAGACAGATAGATGATTTGATAGACAGATAAATGAGATAGAAAGAAGAAGGAAGGAAGGAGAGAGACAGAAAGAAAGAAACAGAGAGAAAGAAAGAAAGAGAGAAAGAAAAAGAAAGAAAGAAAGAAAGAAAAGAAAAGAAAGAAAGAAAGAAAGAAAGAAAGAAAGAAAGAAAGAAAAAGAAAGAAAGAAAGAAAGAAAAAGATTAATTATGAGGGGAATTGCCTCACAAGACTATGGAGGCTGCAAAGTCTCACAATGGGTTATCTGCAAGCTGCAGAGCAAGGGAAACCAATACTGTGGCTCAGCCCCAGTCTGAAGGCCTGAGATCTGGGGTTGCGGGGGCCACTGGTGCAATCCCAGAGTCTGACAACTGCAGATGCTGGAGTTCTGACATCCAAGGGTTGGAAAAAATTGGCATCTCAGCTCCAGGAGTGAGCAAGCAAATTGACCTTTTCTGTTCCTTTTAGTTCTCTCTGGGCCCTCAGTGGATTATAAGGTGCCACCCATGTTGGTGGGGGCAGATCTTTCTTCCTCAGTTCACTGACTCAAATGTCAGTCTTTTCTGGAAACACCTGAACAGACATACCCAGAAATAATACTTTACCAGCTATCTGGGTATCCCTTAGCCCAGTCAAGTTGACACCTAAAATTAACCATCACAGTGTTCTTTTATGACTAAAAAAAAAAAATAAAACTTTTATGAAATAGAATAAAAGAAACTTCCAAGCCAGAATTTCTCAAAGAGGACAAATTCTGTGAGATATTTATTGGGGGTGGCTGAATTAAGAACACTGTGATCAAATAAGTTTGGCAAACATGAAAGTAAATGAAGTTGAATGTTTTCTTTACTTTAGAACTTCCAGGACCTTCTCTGTGTATGTGCATGGTAAGTCCTCCTCAGTATATGCTATGGTACAAACTGTTTCTAGATCTTATTTAACCATAGGATGCCCAACACCTGCCCTGTTTGTGAAGTGGAAAGCCGTTTGAGATTCTTGTATTTCTTGGACCTTCTCAAGGGAGTGAATAGCCACAGAGAAGCTTTTGGAGCAAGCTAGTAAATGTTTTAGGAAAATTAATATAGAAGTGAGGTGCTAGACAATAATGGTTTCTTTTCTCAAAGACATAAATCCCAGTGGGGCAGCTGAGTATTTTAAGGCTGAGATCATTAGTGGAATATTTTTTCCTTCACTTTGTCCCTCAGCTGCCCCCAGTGACTTACGCAACTTCACAACTCTGTAGTTCCCTCATCTACAGCATAGGCAGGGAAGGTAGAAGGGGTCAAGGTAAGCCATTTGCTAGAATACCTGGTGGGAAAGAGATGTCATGGAATCCCAATGATGAATTTTGCTACAGTTGGTGTAGTAGTCTGAGACAGGGTAATTTACAAAGAAAAGAGCTTTATTTTATATATATATATATTTGCGATGGAGTCTCGCTCTGTCACCCAGGCTGGAGTGCAGTCTTGTGATCTCGGCTTACTGCAGGCTCACTGCAATCTCCACCTCCCGGGTTCAAGTGATTCTCCTGCCTCAGCCTCCCTAGTTGCTGGGAGTGCAGGTACTTGCCACCATGCTCAGCTAATTTTTTTGTATATTTAGTAGAGACAGAGTTTCACCATGTTGGCAAGGCTGGTCTCAAACTCCTGGCCTCAAGTAATCCACCCACTTCAGCCTCCCAAAGTGCTGGGATTACAGGCGTGAGCCACTGAGCCCAGCTTAAGAAAAGAAGTTTAATTGACTCATGGTTCTGCAGGCTGTACAGGAACCATGATGACTTCTGCCTCTGGGGAGGCCTCAGGAAACTTACAATCGTGGCGGAAGGTGAAGAGGAAGCAGGCACATCTTATGTGGCCAGAGCAGGACCAGAGAGAAGGGAAAGGGGGAGGGAGGTACACACTTTTTTTTTTTTTTTTTTTTGAGACGGAGTATCGCTGTTATTGCCCAGGCTGGAGTGCAATGGCACGATCTCAGCTCAGCACAACTTCTGCCTCCCAGGTTCAAGCAACGCTCCTGCCTCAGCCTCCCAAGTAGCTGAGATTACAGGCGCACACCACCACGCCCGGCTAATTTTTGTATTTTTAGTAGAGACGGGGTTTTACCATGTTGGTCAGGCTGGTCTCGAACTCCTTACCTCGTGATCCACCCTCCTCGGCCTCCCAAAGTGCTAGCATTACAGACATAAGCCACCATGCCCAGCCGGAGGTACACACTTTTAAACAACCAGATCCTGTGATAACTCACTCACTATTATGAGAGCGGCACCTAGAAGATGGTGCTAGACCATACTTGAAGGATCCACCCCATGATCCAGGCAGCTCCCACCAGGCCCCACCTCGAACACTGGGGATTATAATCCGACATGAGATTTGGGAGGGGATACAGATCCAAATCATACCAGTTGGTATTGAAATCAATGGAGCACCACTATGGCAGTCTCAAAGAATGGTCTTAGAATTCATTCATTAATATAAACCATTTCATATTTTTAAATGTGCTAAAGACTGTTATACTTTTACTCCCATCTGCCTCATAGAGAGGCCCAGCTCAAATGTTCCCTTATCTTTGTCTTCTTTCCTAATCTCTGCAAATGAATGAAAACTGATCACTTTTCTGAACCTTCAAAGACTTTAGCTTTCAGTATCAGTTCATGTCATCCAGGAAAGAGATATCAATATAGAATAACACATGCAAGAAATTTATTAGGGGAATTGGAATCCCCTGTAGAAGGTAAAGGAGAGGAGGAACAAGAGTCGGCAAAGCTTCCAGACCAGGCTTGCAGTCTGACACCTGTGAAAGAAGAGGGAGGAGGAGGTGTCAGGAAGAACCTCAGATTCCAGTGCAGCTCTGAGAAAGCCTGGCCAGGATGATGGAGTGCCCTGGAGCAAAGATTGTTAGAGTGCTGCACTGGAGCAGAATGGTTTGGCTCAGGTGTCCCATCCTTACTGACTGGGAGCAACCCAGAGAGTGTATGGCCCTGGCTGAAGTCTGCAGTGGGTCCTGGAGGTGTGGCCAGTGGAGCTCTTTAGCTAACTCCACTCCCCACAGCAGGTCTCCTCCCGGAGGATCCGCAGGAAAGTCTGCACAGCACAGCTGAGCTATCCCCCTCTATTTCTCACATGCTGTGGCTCACTTCCAGGCTTTATTAGAATTGCTTCTTACATATTTTATTTCCCTAACTAGTGTGTGGCATTCTTGAGCATAGGATCCATGTCTGATTTATTCTTGCAAGTTTGCAAATCTAGGACGTACTTGGAGGGACCTAGAGACTCGTATCTCAGGATCCCAAAATTACTAAGCCATAAGGAAAAGTCAAGCAGGGAACCGCATCAGGCAAAGCTGCCTCCCATTTGATTCCTAAATAACAAAGCTACAAAGATAAACAAGATACCTCCCTCCCTCACAATTTGCCCACAAGGAAATTCCTTGTGGACAAGGGACACACAGAACTCAAAGTCATCCCTCTGCTCATGTGAGGCAAATGCATATCTGATAGCTTTCTCTGCCCTTTTGTTTCACTGAGCCACACTAAGGCTTGAGTGACTATTCCTCTACTGTCATCTCACAGGTAGATTGTGTATTCAGTGAAAGGCTAATCAGAGACTCAAAAGAATGCAACCGATTTTCTGTTAACTACTTATGACACGGCAGCCCGCTTCCTGGCTTCAAGTTGTCCGACCTTTCCAGAGCGAACCAGTATTCATCTTACACATATTGACTGACGTCTCATGTCTCCATAAAATGTATAAAACCGGCCGGGTGCGGTGGTTTCACGCCTGTAATCCCAACACTTTGGGAGACTGAGGAGGGCGGATCACGAGGTCAGGAGATCGAGACCATCCTGGCTAACACGGTGAACCTGTGTCTCTACCAAAAATACAAAAAATTAGCCGGGCGTGGTGGCGGGTGTCTGTAGTCCCAGATACTTGAGAGGCTGAGGCAGGACAATGGCATGAACCCTGGAGTCATAGGTTACAGTGAGCCAAGATTGTGCCACTGCACTCCAGCCTGGGCGACAGAGCGAGACTGTGTCTCAAAAAAAAAAGTATAAAACCAAGCTGTTCACTGACCACCTTGGGCACATGTTTTCAGGACCTCTTGAGGCTGTGTCACGGGCATGTCCTTAACCTTGGCAGAATAAACTTTTTAAATTGATTGAGATATGTCTCAGATACTTTTGGGTTCACATAACACAAAACGAATGGTCAGAAATGGACTTCCACAGTAATAATTATTTCTTGAATACATCATGGTGTGAAATTGAGGGTTTCCTCGGCTTCCGCAATTAATTGCCCTTAGCATCTTTTGAATACAACAGTCTCCTATCCTGACAGCCTTCTCTTGTTTACTCAGGAGTTCAAGTGTTCACTCGCTTCCTAAATGCTTTTCCTTCCTTGACAGCGACATGAAGCTAAGTGAGACCAATCATTTGCAGGGGCAGGTACTCACTCCGTAACGCATTTCTCATCCACTCTGTGCAACACTCCACCTGCTACTATGCATGTATGACATTAATTGTATACATTTATCATGCACCTTTTATAGGTAAATTTGTACACATTTACCATGCACCTTTTATAGGTAAATTTGTGTACATTTACCATGCACCTTTTATAGGTAAATTTGTATACATTTACCCTGCACCTTTTAAGGATTCAAGCTGTATGTACAGGTGACACAGACTACAAAAGTCATTTGATAAACAGTTCTAGTTTGAATAAACCAAATTCAAGTTAGTATAATACTAATATGCAAAAAAGAGGCTGCTGCTAGGCATACCAGGTCAAGTCTAAATAATCTCTCTTCTCAACAATCTCTTTTTGTAATATTGGGTCAGTATTGTTTGGGTGGAGAGTTACTATTTTTTCTTTTTAAATCAAAATGTAAACGTTGCTCTTTTGAACTACTGGTTAAGAGCTGCCACCCTGAAGACCTCATGGAAAAAAGATAAATGGGAAGAAGTCATAATTCTTTTTTATAACCTGGTATCACTATTACTCATGCTGATCAAATGGCTTCTGGTGGCACTACCATTGCTATTTTGCCAGTAATTCAGAATCAGTTGAAAACACAGAAGGTAGCTTACATTCATTCAAACATACATATGTGCATGGAAAGAAAGAAATATTTCCTTTGGATTACTGTATTTCAGAATGCCAAGAACACCATGGGATTAATGTCTAGCCTGAGAATGGAGAGAAGAACTAACTTTTTATCGAGTGTTATTTTATGTTAAAAGAAGCACTACTTTTTCGTTTTCCCCAGTCACTTGCACCACATTTATGAAATTATGAACCAATAAATATTTTTGAGTTCCCACTAAATCATTTATAGCACGGAAGACCCACTTCATAAAAGAGATCCAGGCTAGAATTTTTTAAATTGTCTACAATAAAGATCACATGAGCTGAAATTTATGAATACTGGAGGCTTTACAAGTTGAATCCTGAGCAAGCTGGAAGATCTCCACTATTCCCTGCCACCTAATTTTTTGAGGATGAAAAATTGTCCCCACACCCAGGAGGTGAGAATTTTATTTCCCTGTAAAACAAAAAGAAGAGGAACATTGACCTGTGAGCAACCCAAAGCACCCTCAGAAAGCTTTGAAAATCAAAAGCTGAAAATAACTATCAGCCCAAGTCACCATTTAGCAATCTGGAGAGCTTGTTTTTTTTTTTTTTTTCTTTTTTGAGACGCAGTCTTGCTCTGTTGCCCAGGCTGGAGTGCAGTGGCGCAATCTCGGCTCACTGCAGGCTCCGTCTCCCGGGTTCACGCCATTCTCATGCCTCAGCCTCCTGAGTAGCTGGGACTACAGGCGCCCGCCACCATTCCTGGCTAATTTTTTGTATTTTTAGTAGAGACGGGGTTTCACCGTGTTAGCCAGGATGGTATCGATCTCCTGACCTCGTTTCGTGATCTGCGCGACTCAGCCTCCCAAAGTGCTGAGATTATAGGCGTGAACCACCGCGCCCAGCCGGTTTAACTTTTAATGTGTCCTGTGGTTGCGATCTAATATTTTGACTCTCTGTAGTTGATAGCTTGTGAATAGCATTCTGTGTATAATGAGAAAGAATCAACCATTAGAGCAGGTGCATTTCTACAGGGCTGTCAGCATTATGCATTCCACTGTCCCATGCGTGCCAACCGTTCTCACCTCTGTTAAATTGTAGAAAATAGAAGCTTCTATTAAATTGCCATTTCAGCACCTGCAATTCTGCTAATCCTTCATTTCAGGAGAAGAGCAAATCTGATTTAGCCACAGTGCAGGTTATTAGATAGTGGTGATTATGAAACTTCGGTTCCCTGATAGCTACTCTATGCTAAAATAAATAATCCTTTAAGAAAATATGACGATGCCCCTTTTCCTTCCTCTCTCAAATATTAGTTTTGTACCTAGTGAATGAAGTCAAATGACATATTTCAGAAAATCTCTTGAAGGCAAGATTGAGCTGAAGACGTGGGTCACCTGAACACTGTGGTTTCACCTCTGGTTCTCGGGTCTGATTGAAACGAGTTTTGGAGATTACAGTTCAGTCCCTAGAGGGCCCTACAGGATAGTCAATCCACATCAAAAAGCCATTGCGTGTATGAATTCATGCTGATTTTATGTGACAGCCTTTTTCCATTTAGACAGGTTCAAGCACTACAGAGCGGAATCACTCCTCTTCCGGTAAGATTAAAAGCTTACCCATTTTTGCACAGAATCTTTCACCAGGAATTGCTCTTACTACTTTTTGTTTTCTCAGAATCATAAAATCTTTATTTTCTGATAGCAGAAAACATTTTGCCATCCATTCACCTTCACTTCTTGCAGAACAGAAGTGTCATAACTAAGACACCAGCTGGTTCAAGGGGCGTTCCATTATTTTAGTTATGAAGAAGAATTACAAGGCTCTAACTACAACTAATAGCAGGCCTTAAGATTTTAAAAATGTCAGCCGGGTGTGGTGGCTCATACCTGTAATCCCAGCACTTTGTGAGGCTGAGTCAGGCAGATCACTTGAGGCCAGGAGTTTGAGACCAGCCTGGCCAACATGGTGAAACCCTGTCTCTACTGCAAATACAAAAATTAGCTGGGGGTGGTGGTAAGTGCCTGTAATCCCAGCTACGCGGGAGGCTGAGGCAGGAGAGGCGGAGGTTGCAGTGAGCCAAGATAGCACCACTGCACTCCAGCCTAGGCAACAGAGTGAGACCCTATCTCAAAGAAAAAAAAAAAGTCACCTCCGGAGGAACCATATTATCTACTCAATGGGTCTCTCATTTCTGCCTATCAATGAGTTAAACATTTTTTCCCAGAAGATTCAACTTCTGGGAAATCCACTGGATTTAGTGGGAAAATAAATTAATAGTAAGGCTTTTAAAATCTTACTTATTTCTCCAGTGTGTATTCATGTTGGATAAATCCTTAAGGAGAAGACAGGTTAACTGAAAATTTATTAACATTTCTAAAGGAGTTGAGGATTATGATGATCATGGATTATTCATTTACTTAGGAGTTGTATGTATCTGAATTCAGATAATAAAATGAGAAGATGGTGATTCAAAGAACTGCGGTGAATGCTTTACAGGAAGCTGAGAGCAAAGCTTAACGATATGGGCTTAGGAGTCACACAGACCCGAGTTGAATTCTTGCTGGCTTCTCCTCTTTTTAGCAGCTTTGGATAAATTATTCGCCTTCTCAATGTCTCTGCTTTCTTATTTTTAAGATAGTGGTTGTAGAATATCTCCTTACGGTGTCTGCTTAGACCTCATAGTATCCTTCTTCTAAGTAAGTCCCCTCCTCCTATGTTCCTGCTCAGACTGGAGTGTTGGCAACCACGTGAGTTTTTTTCCCCCAGCTTTAATGAGACAAATAAAACTTTGTTGATTGACAAATAAAAATTGTGACCAGGTGCAGTGGCTCATGCCTATAATCCTAGCACTATGAGAGGCCAAGGTGGGCAGATTGCTTGAGCCCAGAAGTTCAAGACCAGCCTAGGCAGTATAGTGAAATGCTGTCTCTATTGAAAAAAAAAATACAAAAAATTAGCCAGGTGTGGTGGCATCAACTGTAGTCCCAACTACTTGTGAGGCTGAGGTAGGAGGATCACTTGAGCCTGGAGAAGTGGAGGCTGCAGTGAGCCATGATAGCACCACTGTACTCCAGCCTGGGCAACAGAGCAAGACCCTTTCTTCAAAAAAATTGCAAATACTTAAAGAGTACAATATGATGTTTTGCATAAGTTTATTTTGTGAATTGATTGCCACAATCAAGCCAGTTAATATATGTTAATATATTAAAATATGCTGTGTGTTTCTATGAGGGCTGAATTAACGTATCCATTGCCTCACAGTTATTATTTCTGTGTGCGTGTATGTGTGTGTATGTGTTGAGAACACTTAAGATCTCCTCTCAGCAAATTTCAAGTGTACAATATGTAATTATTAAGTGTAGTCACCATGCTGTACATCACGTCTCCAGAACTTATTTATCTCATCTATAACTGAAAGTTTGTACCATTTGATTGACATGTCCCCGTTCCCCCACCTCTCCTTCTACTCCCAGCCCCTGGCAACCATCACTCTACCCTCTGCTTCTGTGAGTTTGACTCTTTTAGTTTCCACGATAAATGAGATTCATGCAATGTTTGTCTTTCTGTGTCTGTCTTGTTTCACTTAACATAATGTCCTCCAAGTTTATTCAAGTTGTTGCAAATGGCAGGATTTCCTTCTTTTTTAAGCCTGCATAATATTCCATTGTGTGTGTATGTATATTTCACATTGTATCCATTCATCCATTCACCACTTCGGTTGTTTCCATATGTTGGCTATTGTGACTCATTTAGCAGCCATGTTTGTTACTGCATGACTATTATCTGGAGTGGATGTGATGTGTGACCCAGACCGAACCATTAGCTTTCCTCTCCAGGGAAGTTGTAGTTGACATGAAATAGCTGTCACTGAATCTCTGTTTGTGACTGGCACCAGAGAATGGTGGGGTAGCAGGTGTGAGAAAAAGCCAAGAAAGTCAGACAGCAGAGAACTAGAAGCCATATGTGGAAATCAAGGTCAATGTGGTTCCAGACATAGGGAGCATGACTGAAGAGGGGACTGTCTTGGTATCCCATGGCCTTTCGTTTCTTGGCTTAAGTCACACAAGAGGCCAAACTGCTCTTGACTGAGGCAGTATATTTTAGTCAATTTCCTATTTTTTTAAGATATTTTAAAGTGAATTTCCTATTAGTAGAAAATAAAATACTCACACCCACTACAAGGCTAATAGTACCTAAATATGAGGGCAACTGTGAAAGTTAGAGGATATGTGTAAAATGCCAGCAAGTACATTCAATAAATAGTAGCTACTTTTTTATTTATTTAGAGACAGGGTCTTGCTCTGTCACCCAGGCTGGAGTGCAGGGGCGGTGAGATCACGCTCGCTGCAGCCTCGACTTTCTGGGCTCGAGCGATCCTCCCACCTCAGCCTTCTAAGTAGCTGGGACTACAGGCACATACCACCACGTCTGGTTAATTTTTGTATTTTTGGTAGAGACGGGGTCTTGCTATGTTGCCCAGGCTGGTCTTAAGTTCCTGAGCTCAAGCAATCTGCTGGCCTCGGCCTCCCAGAGTGTTGGGTTTACAGGGGGGAGCCACCGCACCAGGCTGGTAGCTATGGTTATGTCATTTTTCCTATAAGTAAACTGTGAATATACTTGCAGTAAAGATCATTATTGGAGAGATTTTAAAGTAAGTGCAGATAACAGGGAAACCGTAAATTGGTAGAAAATCTCATTGTTATAATTTATGCTAACGTGCTTTCCTAGAAACCCAAATATAAAGTTTCTGTCATCTGTGTTTCCCAGTGGCACTGCCAAGGAGTCACAGAGCTCTAATTTAGATGTATGTGTGTGTGTGTTGTTGTGTACTTGTGTGTGAATATGTATGTGCTGTGTATGTGTTTTATAGATGAAGATAATGCATTTTCATCTCTTATTGAATTCAGATTACAATTATAATAAGAGCAGTTGAATATCATCTAATAAAGATTACATTACATTTTATTACATGCTTTTTCTATTTTTTTTTTTCTTTCTTGAGACAGAGTCTCGCTCTGTCACCCAGGCTGGAGTGCAGTGCTGCAATCTTTGCTCACTGCAACCTCTGCCTGCCAGGTTCAAGTGATTCTCCTGCCTCAGCCTCCCAAGTAGCTGGGATTATGGGCGACTGCCACCATGCCTGGCTAATTTTTGTATTTTTAGTAGAGATGGGGTTTCACCATGTTGGCCAGGCTGGTCTTGAACTCCTAGCCTCAAGTGATCCACCCGCCTCAGCCTCCCAAGCTGCTGGGATTGCAAGCATGAGCCACTGTGCCTGGCCTGATTTTTCTATTTATGCAATCACTTAATAAGCTGGGGACTACCAGTTATATTTATGAAAGCTAGAATTTTCAACTAAAACAAAGGAGTTAGCAGTAGCATTTAGTACTTTAGAATTATGATGCTTGGTCAGTGGCAATCTCAGGGAAAGCTTTTGGGGGTCTTCCCCTTTTGCATAGGATCCAAAAGCATCCCTTGCATAGTGCAAAGCATGGATTTTCCAACAGTTCATATCACCAGATGGATGGTCTCACTCGGTTCCCTTCTATCTGTGTCTCAAAGCAGCCATTTCTTATATGTGCTCATCTCATTCTTAAAACACTTTGCTAAATATAAGTGATAGCAATGAACACTTCTAATGTTCTGATTTCCAAGTTCTTTCCTCAAAGCTACAGTTCTAGTAGGCATGTGGTCTTCTTCCCAATTTGTAGCAGTGACAGTTTTGCCAAAAGTTTGATTCAGCATGACAACTTTTCCAAGCCTTCCCTCCTGCCTTATCTACATTGCACGACCTTAAGGTAATTTTTTTTTTTTTTTTTTTTTTTTTTTTGAGACGGAGTCTCGCTCTGTCTCCCAGGCTGGAGTGTAGTGGCGCGATCTCGGCTCTCTGCAAGCTCTGCCTCCTGGGTTCACGCCATTCTCCTGCCTCAGCCTCCTGTGTAGCTGGGACTACAGGTGACCAACATCACGCCCGGCTAATTTTTTTGTATTTTTTTTTAGTAGAGACGGGGGTTTCACAGTGTTAACCAGGATGGTCTTGATCTCCTGACCTCGTGATCTGCCCACCTTGGCCTCCCAAAGTGCTGGGATTACAGGCGTGAGCCACCGCGCCCCGCCAGCCTTAAGGTAATTAAAAATAAGTGGAAAAAAAGAGGCAGGAGAGATAGAAAAAAAAAATTAACTGGTCTTGATGATTACATCTAGGAAAGAACACAGGTTTGGTTACTAACACAAGCAACTGATAGGAAGTAAAATTTCAGAGACTTTTCTTAAGTTTTTGAGGGAATCACATTGGCAGAGAAACCATAAACACAGAATAAAAAGATGTCTTTGCTCGTTCCTTAAAACATTACTTAGTCGCCAAATGAACCAAATGCATCTTTATACTTTTTCAAGGATTTAAACACAAAGTAGTTATTGGGCTTTTTTTTTTTAAGATGGAGTCTCGCTTCATCACCTAGGCTGGAGTGCAATGGCACAATCTCAGCTGGCTGCAATCTCTGCCTCGCAGGTTCAAGTGATTCTCCTGCCTCAGCCTCCTGAATGGCTGGGATAACAGGCGCCTGCCACCAGGCCCAGCTAATTTTTGTATTTTTAGTGGAGGCGGAGTTTCACCTTGTTGGCCTCAAACTCCTGACCTCAGGTGATCTACCTGCCTCAGCCTCCCAAAGTGCTGGGATTACAGGCGTGAGCCACCACACGTGGCCTGGATTTTTTTTTTTTTTTTTGAGACGAGTTCTTGTTCTGTCACCCAGGCTAGAGTGCAGCAGTGTGAACATGGCTCACTGCAGCCTGCTGGGCTCAAGCAATCCTCCCTTCTCAGCCTCCCAAGTAGCAGGGACTACCGGTGCTTGCCATTACACCCAGCTAACTTTTTAATCTTTTGTAGAGACAGGGTCTTGCCATGTTGCCCAGGCCAGTCTCAAACTCCTGGGCTCTAGTGATCTTCCTGTCTCAGCCTCCCAAAGTGCTAGGATTACCGGCATGAGCCACTGCACCTGGCCTGACTGAAATATCTTAACAATACTTGACTTATACTTTAAAAACAGTGCATTAATTTTGCCTCTCTTGAATGTCGATTAATATTTTAAAAATCCAGTCATTTGAATATATCTTTGAAAACAGTTCTATTATTTTATTTTGAAAAATGACTTCATTCAAGTATAGATTTCTAGAACCTATGAGAAGCTGCATTTCCCTGGAACAAAAATAATGTAGGGGAAGTCCAGGGTGCCTACTAAAAATTTCTGCGCTTGGAAATCAAAACTAAAAGACAACCATTTATATACCTCAAAAGAAAAAAGAATAAGATGCTTTACGATGTAGTCTTGATTAATTGCAGTTTAAATATAATGGCAGAAGTCTCTTTACATATATAATATTGACTTTATTTCACTACAAGTTACATTTGCGTACCGTCAGCTTTTAGGATGTTCTCATTGACACATCTCTGTTCCACACTTTTAGAGGTTATAAAAGGAATGTGTAGGCCTGGCACAGTGGCTCACACCTGTAATCCCAGCACACTGGGGAGTTGAGGGAGGTAGATTGCTTGAAGCCAGGAGTTGGAGACCAGCTTGGACAATATAGTGAGACCCCATCTCTACAAAAAAAAAAAAACACAAAAAACAAAAATTAGCTGGGCATGGTGGTGTGCACCTGTATCCCCAGCTACTTGGGAGGCTGAGACAGAAAGATTGCTTGAGCTCAGGAGCTGAAGGCTCCAGTGAGCTGTAATTGTTCCATTGCACTCCAGCCTGGGCAAGAGAGCAAGACCCTGTCTCAAAATAAAAAAAAAAAAACAGAAATGTGTGTGAGATAATAATAATAGTAATAAACAGCTATGGCTACATGTGTTGAGACCCTATGTGCTTCTCACTTTTCATGGCTCATTTACCCCACAGCCTTATGGGCAAGGCAACTCAAAGAAATAATTAACTGCATCTAAAATTAGTATTTATTTATTTAAATTTAGAGACAGAGTCTTGCTCTGTTGCCGAGGCTGAAATGCAGTGGTGCAGTCGTGGTTCCCTGCAGCCTCAAACTCCTGGGCTCAAGTGATCCCACCACCTGGGCCTCCCAAGTAGCTGGGGCTACAGGTGTGTGCCACCACAGTGGGCTAATTTTTTAAACTTTTTGTGGAGATGCAGTCTCACTACATTGTCCAGGCTGGTCTTGAACTCCTGGGCTCAAGCGATCCTCCCATCTTGGCCTCCCAAAGTCCTGAGATTTCAGGTGTGAGCCACGATGTCCAGCCCCATCCTGCCTTTAAAATGTCCTCCCCTCCCATCTTGTCTTGGACAAAGTAGTCATCACTGGTTTGTTGATTTGGGGGAATGAAAGAGAGAACTTTAGAGATGAGGACAGCCAACCTCTTAGGGCAGGCATCTCTGAGCTCTCTTCTGAGACCTGGCGGGTGGCTAAGCAGGCAGAGCCCTCAGCATGCCAAGGGACTTGAGTTCATCAACTCCGTGAATCTGACATATGGTTGAAATATTGGGAACAAAAAAAATATGCCAGCTTTAAGCTTTGAGACTGTAGATCTATGAAAAATAAAATGGGAATGACATCATTGTCTCATCAGGAATCTAGCTTCCGTGAAGTGTCTGGGGAAAGATGGATGTTATATTTAATGTCAGAAGTGCCAGTTCATACTGCTCTTTATTAAACGGAGGTGCTTTGCCATCCCCGTTGTCTCAGAGGTTGACAGGTCATACCTCCAAGTGCCTAATATTATACATACAATTTTACTGCCTTTCTACTGAGGAACTAGAATGAAAAGTCAAACTTGTTACCTGTGATGGGATGCTGTAATGTGGCTGGTTTGTTTTTGTGTCTGGCTGTATTACTCTGTTTTCATGCTGCTGATAAAGACATACCTGAGACTGGGTCATTTATAAAGAAAAGGAGGTTTAATGGACTCACAGTTACACGTGGCTGGGGAGGCCTCACAATCATGGCAGAAGGTGAAAGGCATGTCTTACGTGGCGGCAGGCCAGACAGCATGAGAACCAAGTGAAAGAGGTATCCACTTATAAAAGCATCAGATCTCATGAGACTTATTCACGACCATGAGAACAGTATGGGGGAAACTGCCCTCATGATTCAATGATCTCCTCCCAGGTCCCTCCCACAACACAAGGGAATTATGGGAGCCACAGTTCAAGATGAGATTTGAGTGGGGACACAGCAAAACCATGTCACTTGCCTTGCAACAGTGCCAAGGTTGAGAGCTCACAAAATACTTCCAGGTTCGTGGCTCGACCAGTAAATGTAGTGAAGTCCTTAAGGTCAGAATTCATTGATTCCAAATTTTATTATGCAGAAGAAAGAAAAACATCCTTGGAATACATGTCATAGGAAGCCTATAGAGTCCTCTGCTTGAAGATGTGTTAAAAACCAGTGTTCACCCCTTTGCTGGAAATGGAGAGAAGACAGGGGAACCCTAAAACCTTCCAGGGTTTTGTAATAATCCTGAGAAAGGCTGTGACAAAAATGAATGACCCTGACATTTTCTTAAGGCATACAGAAGAAACCAAAGACTTCTGAAGACCAAAGAATTCTGTTTTGTTTGATTCACTGCAGTAAATGTGTTGAATGATATTTTGGAAGAGAAAATCTGCTGACTCTCATCTCTTGCTCAATTTTCTAATTTGCATCCAGAGACCATGTAGGCTGCTTAAAAGCTAGCTAAAAATGAGTTATAATAATAAGAATTTTGTGAAGTATTTTCAGACTGTATTTCCTGACAAGTAAAATACCACTCACCAGTTGCCTACAAATAAATATGCCAAAGAATAGCAAAAATACTAGAAAAATTCTTCTCAGGAACTGAATAAATAACTGACTCAAGGATTGCAGACATAAATAATACTCTTGTTCTTCACCCAGATGGAGGAGGCAATCGAGTATGTTGGTAAAGAAGGAAGTTTGTTTTCTGCAATTCATTTCTAATTATATTGTAGTTATATAAGCAGATGATACTGTTCTTAGAAAATACTTGGTGAGACCAGGCTCAATGGCTCACAACTGTAATCCCATTACTTTGGGAGACCAAGGTGGGAGGATCACTTGAGCCCAGAATTTCTAGACCAAACTTGACAACATAGTGAGACCCTCTCTCTACCAAAAGATACAAAAGAAATTAGCTGGGCATGGTGGCACATGTCTGTAGTCCCATCTACTTGGGAGGCTGAGGTGAGAGGACCACTTGAGCCCAAGAGGTGGAGGCCGCAGTGAGCCGAGATTGCCCCACTGCACTCCAGCCTGGGCAACAGAGCAAGAGTCTGTCAAAAAAAAAAAAAAAAAAAAAAGAAAGAAAGAGAGAGAGAGAGAGAAATATGGAAAGAAAGAAAGAAAGAGAAAGAAAGAGAAAGAAAAGGAAGGAAGGAGGGAGGGAAGGAAGGAAGGAGAAAGAAAGAAAGGAAAAGAAAGGACTTGGTGATTTAGGAATCTAGGATGAAGAATCATAATCTCATTCATATAACCCCAAATCAATTGGTAATTTCATCTAAAGGAGCAGATGGGAAATTTATTATACTATTCTTGAAAATATTATTACTAGGAAATTTAAAATATTTCAAAATAAGAAGTTATTATACATGTATTTTTTTAGTTTCCACTTATCAGCTATAAATCTAGCTCAAGTTTTGAATCTTTAATTTTCTTATCTATAAAATGAGGATAAAACACTAGTGACAACCTCAAAAAATTCAATAAAATGACAACTCAAGAAAAGTTGGTGATAGTTTATACAAATCTCAGAAGTTATTTATAAATAATAGATTATGTATTTTGGTTTTAGTCAGTTACAAGTAGCTGAGTCCTTATATGAGATCTACTATGATAAGAAAATATGCTGATACCATATTTATTACATGGCCATCAGTGCTCAGTGATATTCAATATTTACAAATGCAAACATTGTAAAACAGGCTGTTTATCACAGAAGCCCTCTAGTTATAAAACAAACATATTTACCCAAAGATATGTATTAAATGAAATGGAAAGAACTGGAAATTTATCAGATATTAAGAATTATTTAGAAATTGTATGGAATTTTTAGTAGCTTCTCAAAACATAGAAAAGACAGACAAAAAGCAAGAAGCAAAGAAATGTTTTCTTAAGTTTTCCAATATACCATAAAAATGTTAATAATTGGCTAGGCGTGGTGGCTCACGCCTGTAGTCCTAGTGCTTTGAGAGGCTGAGGAGGGAGGATGGCTTGAGGCCAGGAGTTCAAGACTGGAAAACATAGTGAGATCCCATCTCTACAAAAACTTAAAAAACTTTCCAGATGTGGTGGTACACTCCTGTGGTTCTAACTACTCAGGAGGGTGAGGTGGAAGAATCGCTTGAGCCCAGGAATTCGAGGCTTCAGTGAGCCATGATCACACCACTGCACTCCAACCCGGGGTGACAAAGGGAGACTGCTGGTCTTAAAAAAAAAAAAAAAGTTAATAATTGTCTCTGGCATGTATAGACAAGGAAGCCTATTTACTGTTACTACTGTGCCATGGAGATGGGAGGAATATTTTGTCAACAGGGAAAATAAATATTGGCACCTCCTCTTGAGTGGGCTGGTACCTGTGTTTAAATCAGGACCAGTTTTATTTTTCTTCTTTTTTTAAATTATACTTTAAGTTCTGGGACACATGTGCAGAACTGCGGGTTTGTTACATAGGTATACATGTGCCATGGTGGTTTGCTGCACCCATCAACCTGTCATCTACATAAGGTATTTCTCCTAATGCTATCCCTCCCTTTGCCCCCCACCCCTGAAAAGGCCCCAGTGTGTGACGTTCCCCTCCCTGTGCCTATATGTTCTTATTGTTCAACTCCCACTCATGAGTGAGAACACGTGTAGTTTGGTTTCCTGTTCCTGTGTTAGCTTGCTGAGAATGAGGATTTCCAGCTACATCCATGTCCCTGCAAAGGACATGAACTCACCCTTTTTTTGGCTGCATAGTATTCCATGGTGTATATGTGCCACATTTTCTTTATCCAGTCTAACATTGATGGGCATTTGGGTTGGTTTCAAGTGTTTGCTATTGTGAATAGCACTGCAATAAACATATGTGTGCATGTGTCTTTACAGTAGAATGATTTCTAATCCTTTGGGTATATACCCAGTAATGGGATCGCTGGGTCAAATGGTATATCTAGTTTTAGATCCTTGAGGAATCGCCACACTGTCTTCCACAATGGTTGAACTGATTTACACTCCCACCAACAGTGTAAAAGCATTCCTATTTCTCCACATCCTTGCCAGTATCTGTTGTTTCCTGACTTTTTAATGATTGCCATTCTAAATAGTGTGAGATGGTATCTCACTGTGGTTTTGATTTGCATTTCTCTAATGACCAGTGATGATGAGCTCTTTTTCATATGTTTGTTGGCTGCATAAGGTCTTCTTTTGAAACCTATGTTTAAATTAGGACCAGTTTTATTTTTCACACGTGAATTTTTTTTCTGATCTTCAGGAGAGCTATAATTACTCTGGTGTCTTCAATGTCTAGCTTTAATTGTATCCAGAAATATTTTGACAAGCTGACAATAAATATGTTAAGATACTTAAGTGATAGGTTGCTTTTGCCTTTAAAGTGCTGAACGTATTAATCTATGAAGATATTTTGTGGCGTGGGTACTTCCATCTACATTTCTTAGAATGAAGGAAAAGAACAAGAGAGGTTAAATATATTTATGACCGCAATTGGAAGCTGGTACTGGAATGAATCAGGGAAGTACTGGAACTGACCTCATAGTTTTCTAATTGTGCATCATTTCTAGAGAGATGCCCATTCAGAAAACAAAATCCATTCACAGTAGAGATAAAAAGCGTTCAAAATTCAGGCAATTCCCCTAAAGACCTTTACACACCTGTGTGACCAGGTATCAATGTCCTCTTGAATCTCAGAGAGTTAGAAATATGCAATCTCTGGTTAAGAGTTTTAAAAACCTGAACTTTAAACTTTTCAGTAATGATATGGTACATTATTAATGAATTCTGTTTATGAAATTCTAATTTCAAAGAACCTTGGTGACTATATACATTGCCATTCAAACTGGACAACTTTGAGAATGAAAAAGGATAAACTAGGACTGTCTGGGCAAACTAGGACATATGATTACTCTATTAAATAGTATCTTTATAAAATAATATAATATTGCACATATTCTTCTACTACTTGCAAATTTTCTTTAAAAACCCTCCAGACTGTGTTTTTGAGATTAACCCATTGAAACATAGACTTTTAAAATTTAGTTAATTTTTGTCTTCTCGTGGTATTGTAGTGTGTAATATGCAGTTTACTTATCCACTATCTGGATTAATTTGTATTTTTTATTTGCATTTATGAACAATGCTAGTTACCAGTACATCTCTCTTCGAGCACATGGGCAAGAGTCTCTCTTGGGCAAATACCTGGAAATTCATTTTCTGAGTTTCTGGCATGTGCATCGTCATCTTTACTAGATTTTGTCAAGTTGTTCTCTAAATTAGTGATTCTAATGTACATTCTTAACTGTAGATTGAGATTAATCATTTAGCGTTATTCATAACTTCCCCCCCCAATCTCTTGGACTGAAAATGGTATGTCAGTGTGATTTCAATGATTACATTTTCCTGAGTATAAATGAAGCTTAGATTTTTAAAACTGTGAATTACTTCTTTTTATTATTAACTTTTTTGTATTTAAATGTTTTTGTCTTGATTTAATGTCAGTAATTATATAGTCTGGAGAGTAATCCTTTGTGTACTATATTTTCATTTTGTTCATGGAGTTTTTTACTCCACAACTTTTACTTTTTACTCTATACCTTTCTTTGTAATTTGCTAATACAAATATATGACTTTTAAAATAAATATCAGAAAACAAAACAAAAAGAATAAACTCTTATAAGCTGTTGACTTACTGATGTAAAATGAAAAGATGCATTGTCTTCAGAGATGTTTATTGCTAGGAAACCAACCATTGTCCTGTGAGTAGAACTACTATGGTGCTGCTAATGTATAAGACACTGCATGATTCTTAGAAGAGCAGCTTGGGTGAATACTGAATGAAAGGGCAACTATTTTAGGAAGCCATCAGCATTGAGCTCTTTAGACAAACTTGTTAAAATATCACTATCTTTACCCAAAGATCAGTAGGTCCAGAAAGTGTACTACAAAGTCTAGTCTTAATAGCTATTTCTAAGACTTCACACTTGAGCACACGTTTCATTACACTTGTTTGATGAAAAAACTAATCAAGGTATTGTCTTATGAAAGAGAAAAATAAGAATATCAGATCCTCCATATTACATTTCAATTTAATACAGAACATCTAGTGTTAACAAACTATGATATTAATAAAATATCAATGATATTTTTATATCATCTAGTGATATTAATAAATATGGATGATATTTATGTAATATCATCTAGTGTTGACACAGAGTTGACACACTATGATATTGATGAAATAAATCAATGTTATTTCTAGATCATCTAGTGTTAGCACACTATTATATTGACAAAGTACATCGATGATAGCTGTATAATTTCATCTAGTGTTAACACACTATTATTCATATCTTAGGGAGATATTATTCCTAATATCACATTTGGTGTACACCATGTGTGTTACACCCTGTAATATTATTCATAATATCCTAGGGAGATATTACTCCTAATATCACAGTGGGTGTAAACCCTGTGATATTATTCATAACATCCTAGGGAGTGATTACTCCTAATATCACAGTGGGTGTACACCCTGTGATATTATGTGCAATATCCTAGAAAGCCATTTCTTCTAAATCACAATAGGTGTACATTCTATGATACTATTGTAATATTCTAGGCATGGATTACACCTAATATCAAAGTGGGTGTACACCCTTGTGATGTTATTTGTAATATCCTGGGAAGATATTACTCCTAATAACACAGTGGGGGTAGGCTCTGTGATAGTATGGTAATATTTTAGGAATATATTACTCCTAATATCACAGTGGGTGTACACCGTGTGAAATTATTTGTAATATCCTAAGGAGATATTACTACTAATATCACAGTGAGTGTACACCCTGTGGTATTATTTGTAACATTCTAAGAAGATATTACTTTTAATATCACAGTGGGTTTACACCAAGTCTGTGCACCTTGTTTTATTATCTGTGCTATCCTAGGGAAATATTACTCCTAATATCACAGTGAATGTACATCATGTGTGTATACCCTGTGATATTATTTGTAATATCCTAGGGAGATATTACTCCTAATACCACAGTGAGTGTACACCCTGTGATATTATTTGTACGTATCCTGGGGATATATTACTGCTAATATCACATTAAGCATATACCATTTGTGTAAACCCTGTAATGTAATTTGTAATATCCTAGGGAGATATTACTCCTAATATCACAGTAGGTGTACATCATGAGTATACACCTTCTGTGATATTAGGAATAATATTTAGGAGTAAATAATTAGGAGTATTATTTGTAATATCTTAGGAAGATACTACTCCTAATATCACAGTGGGTGTACACCATGTGTGTACACCCTTTGTGATATTCGTGATGTCCTAGAAGGATTTTACTTCTAGTATCACAGTAGCTGTACACGCTGTGATATTTTTCGTAATATCCCAGGGAGATAATACTTCTAATATCACGGTGGGTGTACACCCAATATCACAGGTAGTATGAAGGGTGTAGACCCACCGTGATATTATTCATAATTTCCTAGGGAAATATTACTTTTAATATCATAGCGGGTGTATACCCTGTGATATTATTCATAATATTTTAGGGAGATATTACTCCTAATATCACAAGGGGGTGTACACACTGGGATATTATTCTTAATATTCTAGGGAGATATTACACCTAATATCACAGTTGGTGTCCATTCTGTGATATTATTTATCATATTCTACAGAGACATTACTCCTAAAATTACAGTCCGTGATACTGGACGTAATATTCCATTGGGGACAGGATGATAGTACCCGCAATATTGCAGGGGGTGTGTACACACCCCTGTAATACTGGTCGTAATATCCAGGGAGAAGCAGGATAATGCTACCGGTCGAAATATCAAGGGTGGGACAGGATGATAGTACCCCCGACATCGCAGGGCATATATACACCACCCTATGATAGCGGTCGTAATATTCAGAGGGAGATAGGGTGATAGTACCCCTAATGTCGCAGGGGATGTGTACACCCCCCGTGATACCGGTTGCAGTATCCAAGGGGGGACAGAATGATAGTACCCCCCATATCACATGTGGCGTTTTCACTCCCCTGTGATTCCGGATATTATTTCCAGGAAGGGACAGGATGATAGTGACCCCAATGTCGCAGAGAGTTTGTACTCCCCTTTATGATACTGGTCAAAAAACCCAGCGGGGGGAAGATTCATAGTACCCCCGATATCGCAGGGCATGTATACACCCCCCTATGATAGCGGTCGTAATATCCAGGAAGAGAAAGGATGATAGTACCCCTATGTCGCAGGGGGTGTGTACACTCCCCTGTAATACTGTCTCGCTGTTGTCGGCGTGGGCTGGAGTACAATGGCGTGATCTCGGCTCACTGCAACCTCCCCCTCCCAGGTTCCAGCAATTCTCCTGCCTCAGCCCCCAGAGTAGCTGGGATTATAGGCATGCGCCACCACATCCAGCTAATTTTTGTATTTTTTAGTAGAGACAACGTTTCACCATGTTGGCCAGGCTGGTCTTGAACTCCTGACCTCGGGTGATCCACTCGTCTTGGCCTCCCAAAGTTCTGGGATTACAGGTGTGAGCCACTGCGCCCAGCCATATCATCTAGTGTTAACATGCCGTGATATTAATAAAATATATCAATGATATTTATCTATTTCATATCATCTTGTGTTAACACACTATGTTATTAACACAATATCGATGATATTTATATAATATCTTCCAGTGTTTACACACTGTGGTATTAATAAAATATCGATGATGTAATTTAATCAGTGCATAAAAGGAATTTTTAAAAGGTATTGATGTAAGTATTGTTTCTAGAGTGAATGCATGTCGTGTCTAGTAACTAATTTTATGGGGGAAAATTTAATGTCACCTACAGCGTATCTGCTCAGTGATCAGCAGGATGGCATTCTAAGAAGCTTCAGGACTTGAGAGAAGATCACGAAATGTGGAGACCGAACTATTTGAGCTCAAACTCTAGTTCAGTCACTTAGGAGATAGGGGAAGATACTTATACTAACTATGGTTAGTTGCCCATCCAACATCATTTATTCCTCCCTTCCTCCTTCCCGACAGAACCCTCAATTTGCTCAGGTACACATGTGTCCGCCTTAGAACCCCTAGGGATGAGACTAAAGGTGAAGGTTACACCCCAAATCCCTTTGCCAATGGCTACTTTAAGAATAGGCATGTGGGCCGGGCGCAGTAACTCAGGCCTGTAATCCTAGCACATTGGGAGGCTGAGGCGGGTGGATCACGTGGTCAGGAGTTCGAGATCAGCCTGACCAACATGGTGAAACCCATCTCTACTAAAAATACAAAAATTAGCCAGGCGTGGTGGCTCATACCTGTAATCCCAGCCACTCAGGAGGCTGAGGCAGGAGAATCGCTTGAACCTGGGAGGTGGAGGTTGCAGTGAGCCAAGATCACACCACTGCACTCCGGCCTGGGTGACAGACGGAGACTCCATCTCAAAAATAAAAACAATAAATGAATAGAATAGAATAGAATAGAATAGAATAGAATAAAATAGAATAGAATAGAATAGAATAGAATAGGCGTGTGGACAGTTTGAACCAATGAGAAACAAGCAAAGGTTTGTAGGGGCTTTAAGGAAAGTTCTTTCTTCTGGGATAGTCCAGAAGTGACCTTCTCCTCTACATTGCAGATATACAGATGTACAGATATGAGACCTGCATGTATGACACTTGTTCAACAGCTGGTCTCAGCATGAAGTCATCACACAGAGGTAAACTGGGCTAAGACGCCACAGGGAAATGAAGCCAGAACCAAAGGGTGAAGGCAACTGTTAAGCTTCCCTGTCTCTGGACTTCCAGATCTGTGAGCCAAGAATTCCAAACAGTGTAAAAGAATTTGGTGGGGCTTTTTGATATTTGTGGCTGAAAGCACTCTAATGGTTCTAAGCCAGTTTTTTATCTGTGAAAGTCAGCTGGATAGCTATATTGCATTCTTCCAGTAATTCATGATATTACATGTAAAGTATTGGGCACAGTGCTCGACACAGAGCAAGCTTTTAATAAAGGACACCAGATGTGGGGTGTTTGTTGTCTACACACTGAATACCTGCTACTAACTTAGGGAACAATTAAGCAAATGTTTAACAGCCTGGATTTTTGATTGCTTGCATTTTCACATCAGATGAGTTGGTGATATTAGTGTCCAGGGAAGACACTGTAATCGCTGAGTTAAGGGTTTTCAATCTCTTTGAGATCCTCAAAAGACAAAGAATAGAATAATAATGCAGTGGTATTTTATTGGATGTCGCACACACACACACACACACACACAGGCATACACACACACTCTTATTAAAGGCCCAGAAAATAAACTAATTTATCAGAGTACAACATATTGGATAATTCCAAAGTTAATTAAACTTTAAAATAAATCCAGTAGAATAAACAAAATTTATAGTATAAGCTTGAGTGATAATTCCTTAAATGAGAAAAGTTAAAATTTGGAACCAATCACAAAGAACGGGACAATTTAAAAAAAACAAAAAACCAATATAATGATGGTCAAATTCCAAAACTTTTAAATTTTAGATGTTATTTTTTTCAACCATCAACAACAATGAAACTAAAAGATACTGATTAAGCACCTGGGCTTTGGGTATACAATCGGAATTTGAAACTTGCCCCTAACGTTTGTAACTATAAAACCTAGGGAAAGTTTCTTAGCCTTTCTTAACCTCAGGTTTCAGACTTATAAAATGTAGATAGTAAAACTCTACCCTGACTTAGGTTTAAATAAGATAAGATAATCTAGGCCAAGTGCTTATATAGGTGCCAAATATATAGTAAGCACTTAATAAAAAAAATTTTTTTGAGACAGGGTCTCGCTCTGTTGACTAGGCTGGAATGCAGTGGTGTGGAAGGCAGCTATGCTAACCACTATACCACCAACGCCTCAGCAAGTGGTGTGATCTCTGCTCACTGCAGCCTCTGCCTCCTGGATTCAAGTGATTCGATTCTCGTGCCTCAGACTCCCAAGTTTCTGGGACCACAGACTTGCACCACCATGCCGGGATAAGTTTTGTATTTTTAGTAGAGATGGGGTTTTGCCATGTTGCCCAGGCTGGTCTTGAACTCTCAACTTCAAGTGATCTGCCCGCCTCTACCTCCCAAAGTGCTGGGATTACAAGCAGGAGCCACTGCACCCGGCCAATAAAATGTTTTTATTAAAATAAAACTTTCTTCTAATAGAATTAGTGCCATGGGATCCCACTGACTTCTGGTGGTCTAAGTTGAAAGTGATCACATAATCCTGGGACTAAGAAGACAGGCTCAAATTTCAGATGGGCAGAGGGAACTACTAGAAGATATTTGCAGCAACCCCAATAAAAACAAGAGACAAACACTATAAAAATAAAATCAGAAGGTAATTTCTCCTTCTGAATAAGGTGAAGTACCAAGGACTGGATTTAGCTGCCATCTAAACAAATATAAAAAGGAAAACCAGACAAGCTATATGAAACAATGGTTTTCAGACACTGGACATCAGGCAACTCAGGACTGTGATCCTCAAGAAAGAGAAAAGAAATGAGGTGAGCCTACTGATGCCCAGCCCACTGCCTGGAGGGTTTGCAGACTACAGCACAGGCAGGAGGAACTCAGTGGGGTCCAGAGGTCTGAGTAGAGAGGTTACAGATCTAGGAGCCTGGAACACCAAGGGAGCTGCAGAGGGAAGACAGCTTCATGGATCTCAGCAGAGGGTTCCCTCTAGTCTTCAAATGAGTCCCGACCAGCACATGTGTGGGAGGAAACTACCTGTATTAGTTTGTTTTCCTGCTGCTGAAAAAGACATACCTGAGACTGGGCAATTTACCAAAAAAAAAAGACTCACAGTTTCACGTGGCTGGGGAGGCCTCAAAATCATGGTGGAAGGTGAAAGGCACATCTCATGTGGCGGCAGAAAAAAGAAGAGAATGAGAGCCAAGCAAAAGGGGTTTCCCCTTAAAAAACCATCAGATCTCGTGAGACTTACTCACTACCATGAGAATAGTATGGGCGAAATCGCCTCCATGATTCAATTATCTCCCACTGGGTCCCTCCCACCACACAGGGGAATTATGGGAGCTACAATTCAAGATGAGATTTGGCTGGGGACACAGCCAAACCATATCACTACTTGAGTCTGGGAAAAGTCACCCCAAAGGAGCAAAGGGAACATCCCCTGAAACTTAGAAGACCAGCAATAATTCATGCTCCCACCCAACAGAAAGGACAACCTTGCCCAGCAGGTCATTGAATAACATGGGTTCATTCAACATTGTTTTGTTATATTGTTGATGAGAAAAAAAAAAACTTTAATTGCTGGCTGGGGCCACTGTTTGTGTAGAGCTTGAATGTTCTCTCCACACATGCCTGGTTTTTCTCCGGGTACTCCAATTTCTCACTATATACCAGAAATGTGCATATTATGTGAATTGGTGTGTCAACATGGTTGCAGTCTAATGAGAATACTGGGTGTGGGGTGTGGGTGTGAATGTGTCCTGGGATGCAGGGGAATCCTGCCAGGTTTTGTTCCCTCCTTGCCCTGAAGCTGCTCGAATAGGCTCTGGCCACCTGTGACCCTGAATTGGAGTAGTGTACTCACAAGGGTATTGTCTGAGAACAGGAAAAAATTAGAATAGACACAAGAGAAAACTAAAATAAACACCAAAAAACTAGAATAACCACTGCTCTCATTCCAACAAAGACTAAAAGTAAGCCTCTGAAAGAAGCAAATTGTTTCTAAGTTTGCAAGTAACTCAAATGCTTTGGGAATAAATTTTAAGATATTTGTCAGAATATCAAAATATCCAGCATCTAACAAAGTAAAATTCACAATGTCTGGCACTCAATAAAAAAATTACCAGACATTCAAAGAAGTAGGAAAATATAACCCATAATGAGAAGAAAATTAATTAGTAGAGACAGATCCAGGAATTACACAGATGATGAAATTAGTAGAAAAGGACATTAGAAGAGTTAAAACTATATTTTATGTGTTGAAGAGGGTAGAAGAATGATAGCACATGTCAAATAGAGATGCTATAGACTAAATGTTTATGACTCCCCTAAACTCATATGTTGAAACGTAATCACCAATGTGATGATATTTGAAGGTAGGGGTTTGAGGAGATGATTAGCTTATGAAGCCAAAGATCTTATGAATGGGATTAGTGCCCTTATTGAAAAGGCTCCAGAAAATTCCATCCACCCTTTTGCCATGTGAGGACACAGTAAGAAGAAGGTTATTTATGACCCAGGAAGTGGGCCTTCATTAGACCAAGGCTGCCGCCTGCATCTTGTACTTCCCTGACTCCAGAACGGTGAGAAAAAATAGATTTCTCTTATTTGTAAGCCAGCCAGTCTATGATATTTTTGTTACAGGAGTGCAAATGGACTAAGACAATAGACAAGGAAGATAGAAAAAGACACAAATCAGACTTCTACAGTGTTTTAGATTTAAAACACATAGATTGAGATTAATGGAAAATTAGACATTGCAAAAGAAAATACTAGTTAGGTTGAAGAAATAGGAACAGAAATGATCCAAATAGAAATTATGTAGTACACAAAGATAATAGAAATTATCTAAAGAATTTACTTTGGAAAGTTCTTTTCCAAAGAAAAAAACAAATAAAATGAACTGAGAATCAGTGAATTACAGAACAAATTAAAGTGGCTTCATATGTATGAGTAATTGAAGTCCCTGAAAAGGGGAAGGGAGTACACAGAAAAGATTTGAAAATAATGGCAAAAAAACTTTCTAAATTTAATGAAAGCTATAAGCTCACAGATCTATTAATGAGAAGCTCAAAGAATTCCAAGTACAAAACACATAAAGAAAATGACACCAATACATATAAAAATAAAAGTGCTTAGAACCAGTGGTAGAAAGCAATATCTTAAAAGGAACAATAACAAAAAGATATATGATGTATCTGAGAACAAAAATAAGGATGACAACAGACTTTGCATTGAAAATGATACAAGTCAGAAGAATAGCACACATTTAAAGTAGTGAAAGATGCCATCAATCTAGAATTCATCGCCAGCAAAAATATCACTTGAAAATGAAGAAACAAACACTTTTCAGACATACAAAAGCTGAAAAAATTTATTACCAGGCAGTCTGGCACTATAAGGCATGTTAAAGAAAATCCCTCGGAGAAATGATAATCATTAAAAGTCTAAATCTTCACACAATATGAAGAACACTGGAAATGGTAAATATAAGTAAATATAAATTCTTTTCTTACTGGCTATTCGTATGTGGAAAACTGAAACTGGACCCCTTCTTACACCTTACCCAAAAATTAACTCAAGATGGATTAAAGAATTAAATGTAAAACCCAAAACCATAAAAACCCTAGGAGAAAACCTAGGCAATACCATTCAGGACATAGGCAAAGGCAAAGACTTCATGAAGAAAACGCCAAAAGCAATTGCCACAAAAGCCAAAATTGACACATAAGATCTAATTAAACTAAAGAGCTTCTGTACAGCAAAAGAAACTATCATCAGAGTGAACAGGCAACCTACAGAATGGGAGAAAATATTTGCAATCTACTCATCTGACAAGGGGCTAATATCGAGAATCTACAGGGAACTTAAACAAATTTACAAGAAAAAAGGAACCCCATCAAAAAGTGGGCAAAGGTTATGAGTAGATACTTCTCGAGACAGGACATTTATGCAGTCAACAAACATATGAAAAAAAGCTCAACATCACTGATCATTAGAGAAATGCAAATCAAAACCACAATGAGATACCATCTCACGCCAGTCAGAATGGCAATTATTAAAAAGTCAAGAAACAATAGATGCTGGTGAGCCTGTGGAGAAATAGGAACGCTTCTACCCTGTTGGTAGGAATGTAAATTCGTTCAACCATTGTGGAAGACAGTGTGGCGATTCCTCAAGGATCTAGAACCAGAAATACCATTCAACCCAGCAATCTCATTACTGGGTATATACACAAAGGAATATAAATCATTCTACTATAAAGACACATGCACACATATGTTTACTGCAGCACTATTTAAAATAGCAAAGACATGGAACCAACCCAAATGCCCATCAATGATAGACTGGATAAAGAAAATATGGTACCTATAGACCATGGAATCCTATGCAGCCATAAAAAGGAATGCGATCATGTCCTTTGCAGGGACATGGATGAAGCTGGAGGCCATTGCCCTCAGCAAACTAACACAGGAACAGAAAGCCAAACACCACATGTTCTCACTTATAGGTGTGAGTTGAACAATGAGAAAACATGAACACAGGTAGGGGAACAACACACACTAGGGTTTGTTGGGGTGTTGGGGGCTGAGGGGAGGGAACCGAGATGACAGGTTAATAGGTGCAGCAAACCACCATGGCACATGTATGCCTATGTAACAAACCTGAACGTTCTGCTCATATATCCTGGAACTTAAAGTAAAATAATAAATAAGTTAATCAATTAAAAAAAACAAAGAAAGCTAAGAGAAAAAAATATTTTCTTTAAAAAGAAAAAAATATTTTTGAGACGCAGTCTCACTTTGTCACCCAGGCTGGAGTGCAGTAGCATGATCACAGCTCACTGCAGCCTCGACCTCCTGGGCTCAAGCGATCCTCCCACCTCAGCCTCTCAAGTTGCTGGGACTACAGGTGTGTGCCACAATGGCTGTGTGTGTTTTTCGTTTTGTTTTGTTTTGTGGGTTTTTTTGTATTTTTTGTACAGACAAGGTCTCGCTATATTTCCCAGGCTGGTCACGAACTCCTGGGCTCAAGCGAGTCAGCGTTTTTGGCCTCCCAAAGTGCTGGTACTATAGGTGTGAGCCATCATGCCCAGCCTTAAAAAAATATTTTTGAAAGGTAACTGACAGTTTAAAGCAGAAAAATAATAATGTCCTGGGGGTTTACAATATATGTATAAGAATAATGTGTGGCATTAATTACAAAGCACCAAATAAAAGGCAGATTTCCAGGTTATATCAAAAAGCAAAACTCAACTATATTCAGTTAATTAAAAACACTTTTGATATAAAGAATCAACTTAAAAGTAAAACTACGATAAAAAGATACGCTAACAGTAACATAAAAAGCTGGAGTGGCTATAATAATATCAGACAAATTAGATTTTAGAGAAAAAATATTAGCAGGGATAAAGAGGATTATTTTATAACAATGGATCATTGATCAAGAAAACATAACAATCCTAAATATTCATGCATATACTAAACAGAATTTCAAAATGCATGAAGCAAAAATCGCTAGAACTGCAAGAAGAAATAGAGCCACGATTATTGTCAAAGATGTAGCACTCTTCTCTCTATAATTGATAGAAGTGTACAGAAAATTAGGAAAGATAAGACTTGACTAACAGCATCAATCTGATCTAATTGACATTAGTAGAACACTCCACCTAACTACAACTGAGCACACATTCTTTTGAAATGCACACAAGATATTTACCAAGAAAGGCTGTATTCTGGGCTGTAACAAAGTCTCAATAAATTTAAATGGATTTAAATCCTACTAAGCATATTTACTGACTACAGTGAAATTAATTTAAAATGATCTACAGTAACACATATAAAAAAATCAGAAATATTTAGAAACTAAATAATATACTTCTAAATAACCCTTGGTCCAAAGAAGATTTCAAAAGGCAGTTAGAAAGTATTTAGAAAGGAATGAAAATGAAAACATGACATATACAAATTTGTGGGAAACAGCTAACGGTTTTTAGAGGAAAATACAGCACTAAATTCTCAAGTTTAAAAAAAGGTATCTCAAATCGATGACTTTAGGAAACTATAAAAGGAAAAGCAAATACAACTAAAGAAAAGAAATAATAAGGACCAGAGAAGAAATCAGAGACCAAACAGCAGGTTCTCGAGACAATCAATAAAATAGATAAATCTCACACTGGACAGACCAGGGGCAAAAGAGAGAAGACACAAATTACCAATGTGAGAAATCAGACAGGGGGATCATTGCAGACTCCACAATATTAACAGATAAAGGAATATTATGAACAACTTTATTACGATAAATTCTACAACTCTGATGAAGAAGATAAATTTCCTGAAGAACACAAACTACCACATCTCACTCAAGAAGAAATAAACCGTCTGAATGATCCTGCATCTATTAAAGAAATTGTTCAATATTAAAAATCTTCCCTCAAGGAAAATTGTAGGTCAGATGGTTTGTCTGGTGAATTTTTCCAAATGTAAAGAAGAAAATGCTGAACTTATGCAAATTCTTCCAGAATAGCAAAAAGTAAAACATAAACACAAACAAAACCAATACCAGCTTTGAGAAAGAATTAAGATTGGAGTTTTATCTCAAGACTTATAAAGCTACCGTAATAAAAATGGTATGATATTGGCATAACAACAGACAAATCAATGAAACAGTATAGAGTCTACAAATAAATAAGCCCAAATATAAATCAATTGATTTTCAATATAGGTGCAAAGCAGTACAACAAAGTCTCTTCAACAAATTCTACTGGAACAACTGATCAGATACATGCAAAAATATGATTTAAACTTTACCTTACACTGTGAACACATATGTAAAATAATTAACTCAAAATGGCTCATAGGCTTAAATATAACAAACTATAAGTCTTCTAAAAGAAAACATAGGAGAAAATCTGTTACCTTGGGTTTGGCAAAGATTTCTTAAATTTGACACCAAAAACACAAACTATAAAATTTTTAAAATTAATAAACTAGACTTTAGTAAAATTAAAAACTTCTGCTATTGAGAAACACTGTTAACAAAATGAAAAGGCTGAGAAAGTAGTTGCAAAATACATTCTAATAAAAGACTTGTATCTAGAATATATAAATATCCTTTATAAGTCACTTATAAGAAGACAACCCAATTAAAAACCGCCAAAATATTTCAGCAGACACTTCATCAAAGAAGATATAAGGAAGTCAAATAAACACATGAAAAAATAATAAGGGAAATGAAAATCAAAATCACAATGAGATACAGAGATAAAACTGTGTACCCAATAGACTGTCGAAAATTAAATACTACTCAAACCAAATTTTGTCAAAGATGTCAGGCAACAGCAACTGGCATAGGCTACTGATAGGAACATGAAATGTTATAACCACTTTGTAAAACAGCATGGTAGTTTTCTAAAAGTGTTAGACATACATGGACCATGTGACCTAGTCATTCCAATCCTAGATATTTGCCCCAAGGAAATAAAAATATGTTCACAAGAAGACTTGCACATTAATGTTCATGATACCTTTATTTGTAATAGCCAAAACCAGGAGATAGTAAAATGTTCATCAACAAATGAGCAGATAAGCCAACTGTGGTCCATCCATATAACATAATTCTACTCAGTAAATAAAGGCATAAACTACAGATACACAATCAACATGAATGAGTTTTAATATTATTATGTCGAGCAAAAGTGCAAGACAAGAAATGAGTACAGACAGTAAGATTCCATTTATATAAAATTCTAAAAAATGTAAACAGTCTATAGTGTAAAAATGTAAATGTCTATAGAAAAACAGATTAGGAATTTTCTGGGGACGAGGGTGGGATGGACAGGGAGGAAGAAGAGGGAGGGATTACAAAGTAGCACAAGAAAACATTTTGGGGTAATGAATATATACATTGTCTTAATTGGAGAGACGGTTTCATGGGTATATGCATGTACATAAATATGTGCCATTTATTACATGTCAATGACATGGGATAATACTGATTTTTCTTTTCATTTTATAATTGCATAATGGAAATAATATTGGCTTTAGAGTCAGACATATGAGTTGAATACTAGCTCTGCTCTTATATATAATGCAACCTTATATAAGTTACTTACAATTTTGAGTCAGCTTCTATATTTATTTATGTAGTAGTAAGAATATCATATGTGAGTATAAGAATATATATGTCAAAGGCTTGCTGTATTAAATATAATAACATGTATATTTTTCTTCTTTATCCCTAAACCCACTCCGATTACCCTCTTCTTAATGGGTACCCTTCTTGTATTTGACACGTAGCCTTGAATATGTTTGTATGTATGCATGCATACGCTTTAAAGTAATTAAATGGCATTGTGCTAAAGCTTTTGTTTTCCCTTTATGCTAAATTTAAAGGACATACCCTTATTTCTGTATATATGTCCAGTAAGTTGCTTCTAACTGCTGTATCATATTCCACACTATGGATCCAGTCAAGTTAGTTCACTGACTTCCGAAGAGACAGATATCTGTGAGTCCAATTTGTCTACTTACTACCGCAAACCATAATGGAATAAATACCTTAATACTTGTTTTTTTGTGTGGATCAGAACAGGTCCTCTTGGCTGTATATGCAAAAGTGCAATTACTGGACTATAGGACAGACATATGATGAATTTTACTAACTCAGTACTCCTAGGTTGCTTTCCAAAATGATTCAATCAGCTTATACTTCCACACTTGAAGTTAATGACCTTACTCATTTTTACCAATGCAATGGATGTAGTATCTCACTTTCATTTGCATTTCTCAGGTTACTGGTAAATTTGAGTATCACTTCCTATTCTTATTAGCTACTCAGCTTTCCCCTTTGTAAATCACATTCTTATCTTTTGTTCATTTTTATATTGAGTTTCCTGTCTTTTACTTGTTGATTTACAATTCCTTGGAATGTCTCTCTATTAATGTCATTAATTTTATGCATTACTAAAAGCTATTTCAGTCTGTCCCCAGCCTATTAACTTTAAGGTGTCATTCACTGACTAGAACTCTTTCATTTTAATACAGTCATAGCCATCCTTTCTTAACCCAACTATTTAAAAAGATATTTTTGGGTCATGTTGAAGAAGTACAGTTCCTCACCTGTATCTCAAACATAATTCTCCTACATTTTCTTCTATGAGCTTTAAAGTTTTCTTTTTAATCCATCGTTTTCATCCCTCTGGAGCCCAACTTTTTATATGGTGCAATGTAGGCATTTATTTTTCTCCATAGAGTGAGCCAATGTTTCAATATTATCTGCTAAAGAGTTTGCCCTGTCTCCATTACATAAGTAGCGCATCTTTATCATATATCACCCACATTTTTTTTATAAAAAGAAGAATGCTTCTGGAAGAGTGATGACCCAAAATAAGAAAGACCATGAGAAATATTCTTGCCTTTCCACTCTCAGGAGGGTACTGGTGACACTGTTCCTCGCTATGGGATCAGCCTTCTGAAGCCACATGTAAATAGGAAATCTTCAACACTCCTAGCAGCCTCAAGTGGATTTATCAGATCAAGTGCATCAGATATATCAGATGAATTCCTACAATGCCTTCAATTTTTAATGGCATAATAATGTGTTTCCATGTCATGTTAGATAAATAAAATGTCTTGAAGATCACAATATATTATATATCACATCTTAACTATACTTCTGCAGTAGCTGTTTAGGATGTTAGTGGACCTGTTTTCCACAAAATTTTCCACTTTTCCCAAAGCTTCCTAATTCATGGAGTGATTTACGGTACTTGACATTACATAATACTTAGCTGGTAAATTTTTTATAAGCAAGGAAAAATTTAGGCAAACACAGGTCTGATTTGCTGCTTAATTCTGTATTCTACAGAGAGTCCTCAAAAAAAGACTTTTTGACTGATTACCTGGCTGAGAGCCCACGCAGTTACTGGGTTAGGACTTACATGAAGAAGGAAATATCCTTTAGTGAAAGCCATGATCTATTTGTCATTGCCTTTTGTTCCAAGGGAAAAGCACCAGAGACTTCAAGGATGTTCGAGGATTATTACACTGCGCAAAAATTAACACTATGCAATTGATCATGAAGCCCTTTGCAGGGACCACAGAGTACTATGGACTATATACTTAAATGAATATTTCTGCCTTGCCTTTGGATTTGGCTGAAAATTATATTGGAATCTTGTTATTCTGTTTCATTGCTCAATGAGGCTGAACAACAAGTGGAAAATAGAATCCAGCAAGCTAGTATTTCTCTTAGAAACTGGTAGTATGCAGCGTTATGAGCTAGAATCCTAACTAAAGGGCTACTTTTTTTTTTTCTTTTTTGAGACAGGGTCTCACTCTGTCACACAGGCTAGAATGCAGTGGTAAGATCACAGCTCACTGCAGCCTCTACCTCCTGGGCTCCAGTGAACCTCCCTCCTTAGCCTCCCAAGTAGCTGGGACCACAGGTGCACGCCACTATGCTCAGCTAATTTTTTTGTTTTTTGTAGAGAAGGGTACTCACTATGTTGCCCAGGCTAGTCTCAAACTCCTGGCCTCAAGTGACCCACCCACCTTGGCCTCCCAAAGTGCTGGGATTACAGGTGTGAGCCATTGCGCCTGGCCTAAAGGGCTGCTCTTGTCTAGTACCAGAACTCAGACTTTCCATTCTCAATGCCCTTAGATGTACTTGAGTTTTAAGAGCAGAAGATCACATTAGATCTAACAATATTTAAGCAATGCTGATTACATACAGATTTCTTGGGAGTGTCACAGTCAGACTTGGTTGTGGCGAATCTACAAATCTACAAGATGGAGTTTATAGTTTTTCTTTTTGTTTTGCACTTGGTGAAAAATTTGCAATGATTCACCAATACAGAACAAAAAGAACTGTGACTTACGTTTTACAGTTTACATAGCTGACATGCTGTATTGTAAACATTCATGTTCTATCATATTTTAGAAAGTTCTAAGTAATGTTCTGTTTTGGAACAAAAGAACATTATTGGCACCTCACAGCAGGATATATGGAAGGTGGGATATATGCCCTACCAGGAAGAAAATGTTAGGATTCAATGAGGCACTGTGTCTTTTACTCCCTTTAGTTCTCTGCAACACACTGACTATGCTAGAAAGAGAGTAGGAGAGCTTCAAACAATGGCCAACAACCCCAATCTGCTGTGAAATCACAACTATAGACCCACTTGAGAAAAAGATAAAAAGAATGCACATGTTATATGTGTCACAATGAATGTGTCTAAATATGACAGATTATGGATATCGATAATACACCACATCAGCTATGTAAATCATAAAACATGCGTCACAGTTCTTGTCGCTCTGTAATGGTGAGTTACTGCAAGTTTTTCACCAAGATCAAAATAAAAAGAAAAACTATGAACACTATTTTGCAGATTTGTAGATTAATTACCACCAATTCTGACTATAACACACTTTATGAAATCTCGGGGTGTCTGTTTAGCCAAAGATTTTTGGCTAACGTGAATCTAGGTAGGATTGTTGTAAAATTTCACACGTGCTTTTAGGATGGCAACACAGATGTCGAACCAGAAACTTCAGATGTGTTAACTTGGAAATGTCTACAATTTTCTCCACAAAAGAAAACCCGCAAACATTCTTTTTCTCCTAAGCTTTTACTGGAACATGGGTATCACTATGCTGTTTGATCTCACACCATTTGGAATATTTCTGAAATCCATATCAGTGATACTAGAGATTCTGTTTTGATGTTCTAAAGAAAAATTTTTAAGATAGGATATTATATGGGAAAAAAAAGTAAGCTCTAAATGTCCTAACTATATGTAAGTTTTATTAAAATAGCATATAAAGTCCCCACATTGTATATTTAATTATTTCAGTATATTTTGTTACTTTTACTAATCAATTACATATTTCTAATATCATCAATGGTTTCAGGCATCCACAGGGGGTCTTCCCATATCTGCAGATTAGGGGAGACTATTGTACATTGAAATAGATTCCACTGAAATGGATTTAATTATCCCTGCTTCTGTTCCTTGTAGCACTTTATTCATAGCTTTTGTCATTGTAATACTTATCATACCCCATCATAATTAATGATATGCACATCTGTTTTCTCCTACAAGAGGCAATAATCCTTCTTGTCCTCTCACAGAGCCTGGTGCAGGGCCTGGCATGAAGTAGTTATTCAGTAATTTTAAAATAAAATTGAGTGAGTGACCCCACAGGCAAGACAACAGGTAAGAAAGACTGGGTATTGTAACTGTTCACGTCCTTGAAGTATATCGTATAAGTGAGAGAGAAAAAAGTGTAAGAATGAGGCAGGAAGTTAAAATAAAATTATTAAGTGATGAAGAAATGTAGACATAAGAGGAAAATAAATGGCTTAAATTCAACCAAAATATCATCACAGCTACTATTAAAAGTGAATTTAATCAGAAGCAGGCATACTGCCATACTCAGAGAAGAATTTCATTCCCGAATGATCAAGAACTTTTTGCTTAAGTATATAATTTTCTTGCATGCAGTCTTTGAGACAGAAAAATGGGAAGGATATTATTGATAGAGACCTGCCACAGAAAGAAATCCAATGGATACTGGTAATGCAGCTATTCTCTTTAGAAGAGATCTCCAAGAAAGCATGCTTTTATTATCGGTCTGGTGAAGGTGGAGATGGCTGGTATAAATAGTAAGAAAGAAATATTCTTTGAGTCCCTACCTCACACCAAAGGCCATGCCAATAATTTTCATAAATTATAAAAATTTGTATGAGTCAGATATGGTGTCCATGTTATAAGGAGAAAAAATGAAGATGAGAAGGATTGAATGACTTGCCATCATTGCAAAATGAGTGGGGAAGCTTTGGTCAAACCAAATTTTGGGGCTCATCTCAAAATACTCTTTAGCCACCTCCTTTGGTGTTTGGAGACATTGTTAATCACCTACTGCATTATATTAAAATTATTCCCATTTTAAGATACTTTGTTTAGGCGACTTCACATTTGCTAAATTGCAGTTTGAGGATTCCTTTCATGTGAAGTTGGAGGATCTGGCTGTATTCTTTGGGCATCTGATGGAAACCATGTTTAGGTAGCTTGTTGTCATAATAGTGATGGCTGACAGGTATGTCTTCTACAGTTTTAGAGAAGGGCCAGAATCCATACAGCTTCACATTTTTACACAGTTCCACTGCAACACTTGTGATCATCAAGCCGGTGGACAAGCGGTATGCAGTCACACCTTTAGTTCTCCAGAAAAGGGCCAGATCTTTCAGGTACTTGGGATGGAAAAATAGAACCTTTTGTCTTGCTTTAGACTCTTCGAGCGTGTAGTATACTTTGAAAGAGGTACCCGTGTTGGCCCTGAAGGAAAATGCTGGCAGAAGAAAAAATGCATCTCCATAGGTTGCAATGTCCTCCAGAAATAGGGCTTTTTTTTCCTTTAAGTTCCCATATCTGCCAAATTAAAAAAAAATTATAGTAATCCCAAGAATAATAATCAAAGTAGCAGTTTTGATAACATAAAGCTGAATTTACCATTGGTCAAAACACTGAACGATTTGTATACTGTATATAAAACAGATAAAGTGTGGACTCAGAGAAAACTCATTCAAGTAAGCATAATGTCAATATCAACAGCTAGATCTTCATCTCTCTTTCTTGGAATCCTTTCAATTTCTACTTTCTTACTGGGCTATAGCCTTAATGAACAGACATTTCTTGTATTATTTTCTATTCTTATTCGTTAATTTTTCCTAAAGTTGTTTTTTGTTATTGAAACACCTTCCAAATGTATAATGATAAAATATTTTTTCAAGCATAGTATGCATATCAATACATTTTAAAAAATTCATTGAGCTGCGCACTTATGATTTGTACATCTTTTGCACATATTTCATTATAAGTTTCCTTTAGAAAACTGAAAATAGACTGGGCACAGAGGCTCATGCTTGTCAGCACTTTGGGAGGCTGAGGCGAGAAGATCACTTGAGGCCAGGAGTTCGAGAACAGCCTGGGTAACACAGTGAGACCCCGCCCCACATCTCTATAAAAAATAAAAATATTAGCTGGGAACGGTGGTGCATGCCTGTAGTCCCAGCTACTTGTGAGGCTGAGGTGAGAGGATCCCTTGAGCCCAGGAGTTTGAGGCTGCAGTGACCTGTGATTGCACTGCTGCACTCTAACCTGGGTGACAAAGAGAGACAGAGAGAGAGAGAGAGAGAGAGAGAGAGAGGAAGGAAGGAAGGAAGGGAGAAAGAGGGAAGAAAGAGAGAAAGACGGAAGAAAGAAGGAGAGAAAGAGAGACAGAAAGGAAAGAAAGAGAAAGAAAAGAAAGAAAGAAAAAGAAAGAGAAAAAGAAAGGAAAAAGAGAGAAAGAAAAGAAGGAGGGAGGAAGGAAGGAAAGAGGGAAAGAAGATTTAAAATATCTAAATGCAAATATAGATATACGTATAGGTTATTTTTAAAAATTTCCTCCATGCATTGTAGTATCTATGTGTATGATTTAAATAACTTAGTATCCTGGTAAGTATAATCGTGAGTGTTTAGAAAATATACTTTGAAAGGCAAGTTCAATATTTATTTTATTTTCTTTCAAGGGATGCTATAACTATTAGCACGAACATATTCTATTACTAATGCTTATCAGTCACTTTTGACGAAAACAATGGAGTAAAAACTTTGTATAAGATTACTTATTAGCCAACAATTGTATGGTAGTTATGTTGCAGAAATGAAAGATGGTAATTATTGTTTAGTAATAAACTCTAACTTGATAACTGTATTTTGCCAGGTTGTCTTAGCCCTTACTCTCTGAAGTTTCTAAATAGAGTAAGTTTTATCAAGAAAGTGCTACCAAGAAAAAAGAGTAATGCTAACACTCTAAAAGAAAATGGAAAAAAGTGGCTTCATTATTGTTAAAAGAGATAAAGAAATAAATATGTTCTCATTTGATTAGCTTATGACATTGGAAGTACAACTGAATCATAACTCTTAGGAAAAACGACCTTGATAGAATGCCACAATTTGCAAATGAATTCTTATATATTTTTCCAAAAACTCATTCCACCTGTACTGCAAGTCAGTCTCAGCAACAAGATTAGTGCTTAAGCTGAGAAACATGTTGAACAATGAAAAAGTGTTCCTGATCAGTTATGTAACTTGCAGCTACTTACTTCAGAGTTATGATGCTTGGATTTATAGTCACAAGATTTGTTTTACTGCCAACATCTTTACTAACATCTCCTGTGGTTGGGGGTAGGTTACACCTGAAATTTGAAAAGAAAATCATTTTCAAAATAGAACTTGTAGAAAAAAGATTGTATACACACATATGCGCGCACACACACACACACACACACCTATCTATAATAATTGTTCTTATGTTGGAGAAATCATTGCTATTGAGACCCTCAGAATCCATTTGGTTTCTATTTTAAATTATTTACTTTAATAATTACTCAGTTCTTAGTTGACATTTCAATGTTGTATAAAATATACACCTTTTTTTTTTTTTTTTTTTTTTAAGGCAGAGTCTCGCTCTGTTGCCTAGGCTGGAGTGTAGTGGTGCTCTGGGCTCACTGCAACCTCCGCCTCTCGGATTCAAGCAATTCTTCTGCCTCAGCCCCCTGAGTAGCTGGGACTAAAGGCATGCACCAAGCGAATTTGTATTTTTAGTAGTGATAGGGTATCACCATGTTGGCCAGGCTTGTCTTGAACCCATGACCTCAAGTGATCCACCTGCCTTGGCCTCCCAAAGTGCTGGGATTACAGGTGTGAGCCACTGTGCCCGGCGAAAATTACAAATTTGATAAATGCTTTCAATATGGATAATAACTTTTATAAGTATCAAAGCCAGAAATGACAATTACACCTTGTCTAAGTTTAGAAGAGTTCCCAATCCTTTTATTAAAATTGTTATTTATATTATTTCTATTGATTATGTTCCCATAGTGGTATGATCACCAATTGGCATATTCTTAAAAACTTGATGTACTGTGACTAAAGTTATACAGTCTGCCAGAAGCAAAGACTAAATTAAACAAATCAAAACCTCCCAATTCCCATGTGGATAGTTTTGCCACCAAATTATGGTTTTAATAAATAAAATCCTAATGTTCTTATAGTGATGTTTTCAAACTGATGTTCTCATCTTCCTTTGAGTACTAATTTGCTTTTAAATTGGAAAACAAATTAAGAATTCTAATTTTGAGTAATTATATTCTTGTCACAAAAAAGGAAAAATTGGCTATGACTTTCTAAATATCATTTACTGAATTTCAAGTAGTAAGGCTAAACATAAGAAGGGAGCATCTTTGAGTGCTTCCTAAGGAAGGTTGTTCAAAGTTGATGTGGTCTATAACATGACAGAAGATGAAATAAGCTGTACCATGTCCTATAAAACACATGAATGAATGAAACATGAACTTCCCTCATTGATATAAAAGCTATGTCAGAAAATAAAATAAATACGGCACCTTGGTAAAATAAATATGAATCAAATATCAATAATACATATTCAATGATAAAGATTAATCATAGGTACTAGGCCATAAAGGTGATCTCAGTAGTGGGCCTCCCACAACATATGTCCTTTCCAGAACAGTCTCATATTCTTCTGAATAATCAAAAGTGATTTCTAGTAGAATATCATAGGAGACTCCATAGGGAAGGGTATTTTATAGAGGAAATACAATAAGTTTTGGCTTAAAACTTAAAAGAAAAATATCTCAGAATATATTTAATTCATGAGTCTAAAATGCCTGTGTTTCTAGATTCTACTTTTGCTGATGCCAGGTATTTTCCTGAATATAGAGTATACACACACACACACACACACACACACACACAAACAGTAGTATAGGTCATGGTATGTACCATACCATGCATGCATGGTATGTATGCATGTATTATATATGTACATGCATACATATTATAGATTATATATTATATGTAATATTAGTATATTATATAATATGCATATATGTAATATATGTATATTATATATAACATGTATATATAATATGTAATATATAATATGCATACATATTATACATATATAACACATAATGTGTATATAATATGTAATATATAATATGTATACATATTATAAATATATAACACATAATACTGTTATATAATTGTATTTATTATATGTATATATGTATACATATTATACATATATAATTACATATAATACTGTTATATAATTTTATACAGAATATATGTATATATGCTATTATAGATTTATAAAATGTATGCATATTGTTATATAATATGTACATATGTAATGTATACATATTATACGTATATAATTACATATAATACTGTATTATATAGTATATTATATAGTATACAATATACTATATTATATACTATACAATGTACAATATATTACATACTATCTATAACACAGTATTATATATTTATCATACATATGTATAATATGTATATATAATATGTAATATATAAATACTACTGGATTATATGTATTACAGTATACGACAGTATATATGTGATTATATATATTACTACTACTGTAATATATATGTGATTATATATTTTACTACTACTGTAATATATATGTGATTATATATTACTACTACTGTAATACATATATGTGTATATATAAACTGGTATAGTCATATATAGCAGTAGTATATATAGTCATTGCCTATTTTTGTTCCTCACACACTTTATTCATAGCTCCAAATCTTTTGAAATGAAAAATAAAAGTTTGTTTTCTGAACTGTCAACCTGAAGCACCAAAATAAGTACAGGCTTAAAAAATTAAGTATATTTTAATGACACCAAACACGTCTAGCCCTCATTTTGCCTTTCAGTTCAAATGGCTAGTTTTAAAGGAAATTCTATATTCGGGAAAATACCTCTCATCAGCAAGTGTGGAATCTAGAAACATAGACAGTTATTTTAGAATTATAAGTGAAATATCTGCTGAGATATTTTTCTTCTGGGTTTTAAATCAAAACTTATTGTATTGCCTATACTTGCTATAAAGTATAATGAATGTTTAGGCCTGATCCTCATTACAGATGTTTTGGGAATTTTAAGCCTATAAAAAGTCTACTGCAAGAAGAATTATCTTCCTTATGGCTTTTTCACACTGGATACTTGAACAAAATGTGTAAACCATTCAGATATTGGCCATTTTAACAGTAATCATGAAGAACACATTCAATAATTGTTGCACTGTCGGGTCTATTGTGGCTTCATCATTACCTGCAGCACAAAATTTAAAAATGAGATTGAAATTGGGAGGGAGCTGTTTACTAGAAACCCTGTTTCTTTTTCAATTGCTTAAAAGGGCAGCATTAAATCAAGAGGGATCAAAGCATCTCCTCTGATGTATGAAATCAGTGCTCCTAAAACAGGAAGAACCAGACTTCCACTTACTCTTTGAAAAGGTGCATTTCAATTGAAACCCATCCTCAGAAGGATAAATTACCTTTCCATTACACTGAGACAGTGGAGATGCTTTGGTATGGCTTATTAGTACAAGGCACACAGAAAAACCATTTTGTTTCTATTTTTGCATGCTAGCTGATATTCAGATAGAAAACATTTTAAAAGACCAGAACTTAGAAGCTGTACAAATTTGTTTTTTAAATTGCAAGCCAGAAAACGAAATAATGATACAGTTTGCAGGGCTGAAAAATGTCTTGATCAGCATTTTCCCAAGTATTGTCTAAGAACAAAACATCCTTGAAATGCGCTGTTAAACAAAAACAAAAACAAACAAACAAATAAAAAAAGATCTTCAAGGTCAGGTGAGCCTGAGACATGCTGCCCTCTGGAGTCCTCCCAAGGTAGCCATTAACGTACTGAACGCTCTGAAAGGTCCTGCACTACCAAACCCTCTTTCACCACAATTTCACCCAGAGTTTCCTAAACATATATAAACATAGCACATTTTGTTTCTTCTGGTATTGACATTCTGAGGAACTCATGAGCCACATAACACTTCAGGAAACCTTCCCGGGTAATTTGTAGACTTTTGTAACAGAGCTCAAAGGTGAAAATATACAATGGATATCTTTACACTATCCCCCTCTGAAATACCCAACTGATCTATTGTTTCAAAGAAACCAATTTGTCAGGTCTTACCTAAAAACGAAGTCGGATTTATCTATTTCAGTTCCACAGAGAGACTTATTCAGAATTCCCCCATTTCCGACCACTGCACACTGATTATAAGGGTAGTCCACAAAAGGCTGGGACTAGCAGGAGAAAGTGGAAAACTACCATGAAATACCGTTAATTTTAGAACCATAGACAACAGCTTAATTCTAGTAACTTAACTCTTTATACATGCTAAGGAGAAGAATACGAACAAGAAAAAGCAGCAGCCCAGTTTGCTAATCAACTTACTATGACTTAGCATAAAGAACCAGCTGGGGCTGGGCGCAGTGGCTCACACCTGTAATCCCAGCACTTTGGGAGGCCAAGGAGGGTGGATCACAAGGTCAGGAGTTCAACACCAGCCTGGCCAAGATGGTGAAACCCCGTCTCTGCGAAAAATACAAAAAAATTAGCTGGGCGTGGTGGTGGGTGCCTGTAATCCGAGCTACTCGAGAGGCTGAGGCGGAGAATTGCTTGAATCCAGGAAGTGGAAGTTGCAGTGAGCCAAGATGGCACCACTGCACTCCAGCCTGGGCAACAGAATGAGACTCCGTCTCCAAAACAAAACAAAACAACAACAACAACAAAAAACCAGCCAGGTGCAGTGGCTCACATCTGTAATCCCAGCACTTTGGGAGGCTGCCAAAATGAGAGAGTCACTTGAGGCCAAGAGTTTAAGATGGGCCTGGGCAACAAAGCAAGACTCTGTCTCTACAAAAAGTAGAAAAATTGGCTGAGTTTGGTGAAGAGCGCCAGTAGTCTTTGCTGCTTGGGAGGCTGAGGTAGGGGAATCACTTGAACCTAGTAGTTCCAGGCTGCAGTGAGCCATGATTGCACCACTGCCCTCCAGCCTGGGCGACAGAGCAAGACTCTGTTTCTTAAATTTTAAAAAATGTGTAAGTAAAATAAAATAAAATAAATCATTATGTGAACCTAAGTTTCATTTCTCTTGAGAGAAATAGACATCATAGGATACACGGCATAATGTAATAATACAAAATACAGTATCATGTATTTTTCATCACATAATTAAGGAAAAAAATTAGAATGGCAAAACCCCATATTCTGCCTTTCTGATAAACAAGGACATTTTCAGCAAGAAAGAGAAAATAAAGAAATTAGGAAGCAGCATTAAATCTATTCTAAGGCATAAAATTAATAGGTGATTTAGCAAAAATTTCCTGTGCTTCTTAAATAGTTAGACCTTCAGGCTCAGTAAGGCATTAGATTTATGCCTGCCGTCTCTGCGAATGACCAGCCAGCGTGCTTCAGGGAGGCCTACCAACTGGACTGACATATTTCAAATTAATTTCCAAGACCTGAATCTTTCTTATTCCTTTTAGGACCTGGCCTGCTTACCCCAGAAGGTTTCCTATTTTCCCCAAGTTCTCTGCAGACTGAAATCTAACTTTTCAATTCAATGGTGCGCTTTCCTTCCCTCTCCTGGTCACTTTCCATGAAGTAATAATGTGACCTTGAGCCCACGGCCAGGGTGCCGGCTCGTGCTTCCCAGTGATGAGGTCCTGATCTACCGATTTTGTCTGTAGGATTAAGGTGTAAGTCCTCAAGAGCAGAGAGGCTGTTTATTATTTTTAATTTCCTTTAATTTCCCCTCATTTTTCCCTCCTGATCTTGTGTAGTGCAATGTGCACAGCTTTCAATACCCATCTCATGGGCTTTCAACAAGCTCTCCCACCTTCTCACTAGGTGGCTCTGTGAATAAATCTTATTTCTTTTGCAAAACCGGTATCACGGGAATTAATTTACTGCACGTGCGCAGAACGAACCTGACCCTGGCCTGTAACCATTGAAGGGGCCACTGGTAAATATTCAGGAATTTTGTGAGCTGGTTTTTTAAAGCATTGGTAACTAAAAATTGTCCAGGGTGGGGGTATTGACACCACTGAATTTGGCAAAGGTTGCAAAATCAAGGCACATCGCCCTTGTCAAAGTCAGTTTACCAGCCCAACTGACAACAGCCCAGGGCCGATGTGGTTCTGAGCAGTCCGGAGTGACAGAAGATGCCCCAGAATCATTGTGACTGCTGTCTGCCCCTAATGCTGGCTCTGGGAGCTGCCCAACTAGCAAAGAAACTCGGTTTCAGTACAACTCTCTTTGTAGGTTTGCCTTTGAAATGTAAAAGTCATATTGCACTTTTTATGCAAGAGGCACTATTTCAAGTACATACTTTATTAGCACATTTAACCTACACAGCAACCTTTTGAGTATTTTACAGATGCGAAAATGGAGGCATGAGTCCAAGTAACAGCTAGAAAGTGGCAGAACTGGGATAGGAACCCAGGCGGTTTGCTCCAGAGTACCTGCTCTAAACCACTACACATTATCGTTTCTTACAATTCCATGGATTAAAATGATAACTTAATTATGTATAATTATGTATCTTATTCCTGGTTATATCTGCAATGGCTAGCAGAGTGACTGGCTCTTAAATGAATGGTTCCTAGATACCTCAGGCTATTTCATGTCACTGAACTTCTAGCTCAAGATGTCTTCAGCCAGTATCTACTAAATGGTGCCACCATAAATTCTGAAGTTTATAGATAGGGTAGGATGCAAAAATGCAAATAGGCTCATTATGGTATAAAATAGAAAAGATTACTGAAGGAAACATATCTCAAATTATGCACTCACAATAAGGAATGTTTTTCTCTGGTTTCTTGGTCAACTGGGAGGAAAACATCTATATGCTTTAGTATCTCATGTTCAGTATGAATTTAAATAAATTACAAATCTCAACGTTTCCTTAAATAAACCTCCTGAGAAAATGCAAATGTGCACGCTCCACTGCCTGCTCATTGCCCACTCTGGTTGAAAATCAACTTTTATTTTTTTCTCTGCAAGTAACTTAGCCAAGTTTGTGGAGGAAGTGGCTCCATATCATTTCATTAAAACGTTTAATGCCGTCTTCTTGTGTGCCCAGCAGTTCGTCCTGGAGAGTTTCATGCAGAAGGGCAGAGTAAAGCAACGTGGGAAAGAGGACATTTCCACCACGAGCCCCGTCTATGAAAGGAGAAGGCTGGAGCAACACAAAAATAGGGACCTGGCTCTGCAATTGCTGCTGTATTGACTGCAGAATTTCCTCTCCCCAGTTTAAAAAAGAAAATCAGTATAAATTTGGAAAGCAGATGCAGTTCCCAGTTACATACATAATTATCAGGCCTATATTAAGTTAATCCTTTCAAAGTGCCAAATGAGGGTAAAGCAGTTGCTGCTCCTCTGTTCTGGTCAGTTGAAAACATGGCAGACACTGGCAAAACCTGCATGGATGAATGAGTGAAAGGGCTCACTGTCAAACTTTCCAAGGCTTTCCCTGATAGGAAAGATAAATACTCTTTCCTTATCATCTTTTCAATCACTGGTCATTTCAGGGCGTCATGAGAAAGCTTTATATTTTTGTCCCTTTTTCTTCCAGAAAATTTACAGTATTTTTTCTCTATCATTTTCTATTTATTTCTCATTCATTCTCAGCTAGTTATTCTTCCTCTAAATCCTAATATAAAAAAAATTGGAACAATTTACATGAGCAACAAAAATTAGCTGAAAGAGGTCAAAGCTCCAATAAAAGAAAACTGTAAGAATCTCATATCCTACAGTTAGTATACTGCACATATAGAGGGATCCTATTTTGACCATCTTGATATGGCCTAATTGTTTTTTAATGGAATCATAGAAAGACGCTGGAGAGTGTATGTTTATAAGCAATGAGATGTTTATGTTCCTCAGAACCAAAACTTCCCCAAGTGTGGGTTTGCATTAAGGGTCGAGTTTCTCCTAACTGTGTGAAGTGGTTTTATATCATATCATTACTCATTTTTCTAATTTTACAAATTGGTAGTGAGTGCATATATGTACTGGGAAATGTTCTAGGGGTTTGGGATATATCTGTGAACACAGCAGACAACAATCTCTATCTTATGGTGGGTACGTTTATTGACTATAAATTCTTACATATTTACTTCCCAAAGATGAGCCACATAAACGCACCGTTCCTTGGGAAGGAATTGATTTAGTCACCATAACTGACAATTGGAAGAATCTTATTTGAGATGAAAAATGGCCGTCTTCACAAGCCTCAGTAATTACTAAGCAGGAAGCCCGAGTGTCTCATCTCATTCGAAGAAGAGTCTGGAAGACAGGACTGGAAGAGCTTATCATTTAAGATATAAATAATCCTTCCCTACAGAGCCACACTGCATTCAAAATGGCCCTTTTAAAAAATGGCTCACTGTCCAAATTTTATACAACATAACAATATGGTATTTTAATTGAGTCCATCATAATTGTAAGTTACAGCTTAAAGTAAAAGAAAATTCACCTGGAATGGTAACACAAATAACCCACCAGAAACCTTTACTCACCACTGGAAACATATGAAAAATGTTCTTCTTAATTGGGATTTCTTTTTTGCTTTCCACCTCGTAACTCATATTAGTCCCAACTGGAGTGTTATTCTGAGAAACAACAAAGTTTTGAACAGCATCACAGCAGGAAGCAAGTTTGGCTCTGCAAAGGAAAAGGATGAAAAGGAAGCCAAAGTATAAGATTAAGAAACCGAAAATGCAGACCACGATGGACAATGCCGAAGAGGATTTTGCCAAACTGACTTTCAAAAAGAAGATAATTATTCACAAAGATGACTTTGATTTTTGTCCTCCAGGTTTCATATCCCTTGAGGACTGGGACTGACTCTCTTTTTTTTCATTCTTCTTTTGTCTTTTGTTTAATCTTATTTTGATTTCTTTTTTAATTTTACTTTAAATTCTGGGATACATATGCAGACATGCAGGTTTGTTACATAGGTACATGTGTGCCATGGTCGTTTCCTGCACCTATTAACCCGTCATCTAGGTTTTAAGCCCCACATGCATTAGGTATTTGTCCCAATGCTCTCCCTCCCCTTGCCTCCAACAGGCACCAGTGTGAGATGTTCCCCTCTCTGTGTCTATGTGTTCTCATTGTTCAACTCCCACTTATAAGTAAGAACATGTGGTGTGTTTGGTTTTCTGTTCCTGTGTCAGTTTGATGAAGATGATGTCTTCCAGCTTCATCCATGTCCCTGCAAAGGACATGATCTCATTCCTTTTTATGGCTGCGTAGCATTCCATGGTGTATATTTACCATATTTTCTTTATCCAATCTATCATTGATGGGCATTTGGGTTGGTTCCATGTCTTTGCTATTGTAAACAGTGCTGCAATAAACATACGTGTACATGTGCCTTTATAGTAAAATGATTTATATTTTTTTGCCTATATACCCAGTAATGGGATTGCTGGGTCAAATGGTATTTCTGGTTCTAGATCCTTGAGGAATAATCATACTGTCTTCCACAATGGTTGAACTAATTTACACTCCCACCAACAGTGTAAAAGCATTCCTATTTCTCCACAGCCTCACCAGCATCTATTTCTTGACTTTGTTTTTTTATTTTTTGAGACAGAGTCTCACTCAATCTCCCACACTGGAGTACAGTAGCATGATCTTGGGTCACTGCAACCTCTGCCTCCTGGGTTCAGGTGATTCTCCTGCCTCAGCCTCCTGAGTAGCTGGGATTACAAGTGTGCACCACCTATGCCTGGTTAATTTTTTTAGTAGAGACAGGGTTTCACCATGTTGGCCAGGCTGGTCTCGAACTCCTGACCTCAAGTGATCTGCCTGCCTCAGCCTCCCAATGTGCTATTTCTTGACTTTTTAATAATTGCCATTCTGATGGGCCTGAGATGGTATTTCACTGTGGTTTTGAATTGCATTTCTCTAATGATCAGTGATGATGAGCTTTTTTTCATGTTTGTTGGCTGCATAAAATGTCTTCTTTTGAGAAGTGTCTGTTCATATCCTTTGTCCACTTTTTGGTGGGGTTCTTTTTCTCTTGTAAATTTGCTTCAGTTCCTTGTAATCCTGGATATCAGACCTTTGTCAGATGGGTAGATTGCAAAAATCCCATTCTGTAGGTTGCCTGTTCACTCCGATGCTAGCTTCTTTTGCTGTGCAGAAGCTCTTTAGTTTAAAATCAATGTGCAAAAATTACAAGCATTTCTATACATCAACAACAGACAAGCAGAGAGCCAAATCATGACTGAACTCCCATTCACAATTGCCACAAAGAATAAAATACCTAGGAATATAGCTTACAAGGAATGTGAAGGACCTCTTCAAGGAGAACTACAAATCATTGCTCAAGGAAATAAGAGAGGACACAAACAAATGGAAAAACATTCTATCCTCATGGATAGAAAGAATCAATATTGTGAAAACAGCCATACTGCCCAAAATAATTTATAGAGTCAATGCTATTCCCATCAAAATACCATTGACATTCTTCACAGAATTAGAAAAAACTACTTTAAATTTCATATGGAACCAGAAAAGAGCCCATATAGCCAAGACAGTCCTAAGCAAAGAGAACAAAGCTGGAGGCATCATCCTGCCTGACTTCACACTATACTACAAGGCTACAGTAACCAAAACAGCGTGGTACTGGTACCAAAACAGAGAGATAGACCAATGGAACAGAACAGAGGCCTCAGAAATAACACCACACATCTACAACCATCTGATCTTTGACAAACCTGACAAAAACAAGCAAAGGGGAAAGGATTCCCTACTTAATAAATGGTGCTGGGATATATATATATATATATATATATATATATATATATATATATATATTTTTTTTTTTTTTTTTTTTTTTTGCTACAGTCTTGCTCTGTCCCCCAGGTTGGAGTGCAGCGGCACAATTTCAGCTCACTGCAAATTCCACTTCCCGGGTTCAAGCAATTCTCCTGCCTCAGCCTCCTGAGTAGATGGGACTAAAGGCACCTGCTACCATGTCCGGCTAATTTTTGTATTTTTAGTAAGGACAGGGTCCAACCATGTTGGCCAGGCTGATCTTGAACTCCTGGCCTCAAGTGATCTGCACCCTCAGCCTCCCAAAGTGCTGGGATTACAGGCGTGAGCCACTGCACCTGGTTTTTTTTTTTAAATCTCACTAGACTTCTAACTGGCCCTGGATTGTAGCATGGTGACTTGGCAAGATAAATGGCAAAGCAGTTAAACACACTTAGGTAGGGACCTACTCACCAATAGAAAATGCTCATGAATATAACATTTTTAAAAATACGAACTTTCTTCTGATGATACTGTTATAACACTAAAGACAAAAAATGAGAGGATTCATTGTAATGATTTTATAATAATTATAAAATACAGGCTGGGCGCGGTGGCTCACGCCTGTAATCCCAGCACTTTGGGAGGCCGAGGCGGGCGGATCACGAGGTCAGGAGATCGAGACCATCCTGGCTAACACGGTGAAACCCCATTTCTACTAAAAATACAAAAAGTTAGCCGGGCACGGTGGCAGGCACCTGTAGTCCCAGCTAGTTGGGAGGCTGAAGCAGGACAATGGTGTGAACCCAGAAAGAGGAGCTTGCAGTGAGCCGCAGTAGCGCCACTGCACTCCAGCCTGGGCGACAGAGCGAGACTCCGTTTCAAAAAAAAAAAAAATTATTATTATTATTATAATAATAAAATACAGAAACTAAGTTAAGAACAGTATCACAGTCACTAAAACAATACATAATCATTTATTATCAGACAAGTCCAATGAAAAAAAGAAATATACAGTGAATTTTTAAGTGGGGTGAATTTAAAGTTGCCATTCCTTGTAGAAAGCCCAGCAAAGCATAAATTAATACCAAGCTACGTTTCAAAATGATTACCATGGAGTGAAACATTATTATTGGAATGTAGACCTAGGAAGTGCTTTCAAGGATCATCTGAGTTAACCCCCAACCTCTGGCAAGTGCATGTAGAACCACTTAGAATTCATATTTCATTTCTTTAATTCTCCAATGATGTAGATGCCTTAAAGTCTCTTGATAATTGTTCCAGGGTTTAATCAACCTTAAAGTCAAAGAGATTTCTGCATTTGCACAACGAAACTATGTTTTAATGTAAATCTATTTTCCTTGTTAGGTTTTCATAGAATCTCCTTGTGAAAATACTTCACGTACTTGAAAATGGAAATCAAGCAAAGCTTTAGCCTTTTTCAGTCTTGCAGAGTTTACAGAATTTTCTCTTCTCTCAGGTTTTCCTCATAGGACCAGTTTTTCATGGTTTTAGTCATCTTGTTTCTCTTTAAACCTCAACTTATTTCTCCGTATTACTTAAAAATCTGTATCCAAGCCAGATCCAGTCATAAGACAAGAGTCAGTGAATATTCAGCAAGAAATGTTGATGGTAGTGAGTCATTAGAAATAGTCCTTCCTCAGTCCACACTTCTATTATTGGTTTAGTCCTGAAAAGTAAGCTTCCAAACATGTTTCTACTGAATTTTGCCCTTTTGCAAAAATACAACGATCTAATTTGTCAAGGTCATCTAAAATTTAGTCTTCTGAATTCCAATAATTCTCAAGACGTGAAAAGTAGGGGTAATATTTGCACCTCAAAGTTAAGGTTTTTAAAAATACTTCTTATCAGTTAAATATGTTAAAATATTCATTAAAATAGTATATCCTTCTTAATTGGATTCTGTCACCCACTTATTATTTCTTTTTGTATTTTACAACCTACCATTCAAAAAAGATGGTTCATGGAGATTAACAAAAGAGAAAAAATGAAAATGAAATGGTGTGTAGTCAAAAACATGATACTAAGTAGTTTTTAATTATACATTTAATTTGATAAAAATTTGTGTGACATATTGCAAATTCAGAAATTCTTATGCGTATATAATTTTTAGTGGCTCTTTTATCCAGCATTTTGAGAAAAAGCAACATAATAAATTCTCATTTACCTTTGGCAAACAATTTCTCTAAGGATATTCAATGCCCTCAAGAATATTGCATCACCAAAAACACTAAATCAGATTTCTCCTTATGCTTTTTAAAACATTAATAGAGTTTTTGCTGAATTTTTTTTTTTTTTAGATAGAGTCTCACTGTGTTGCCCTGGCTGGAGTGCAGTGGTGGGATCTTGGCTCACTGCAACCTCCATCTCCTGGGTTCAAGCAATTCTCCTACCTCAGTCTCCCAAGTAGCTGGGACTACAGTCGTGCACCGACACGCCCGGCTTATGTTTTGTATTTTAAGTAGAAATGGCGTTTTACCACGTTGACCAGGCTGGTCTCGAACTTCTGACCTCAAGTGATTTGCCCGCCTCAGCCTCCCAAAGTGCTGGAATTACATGCCTGAGCCGCCGCACTGGGCCTTTTTCTTAAATTATATATTTTAAATATCGTGTAAAATTTCCAAACCTGTAGGAAAGTTAAAAGAACTGGACAATAAGCGCTTGAATAACCAGCAGTTAGATTTGACAATTAACTTTTCACTATATTTGCCTTATTGTGTATCTGTCCATTAATCCAATTTTATAGTTGTACTTGTTGCAATTCAAAGTAAATTATAGATCTGAGTGCATGTCACCTTCAAACACTTCCTATCTCCCGACCCTCCGCCAAGCCCCAGAGGACACTTTTGTGATGATTTTTCACCACAGATTCGTTTTTCCTGTTCTAGTATATGAACAGAATTATATCACATGTGTGCTTTTTTTTTTTTTTTTTGAGGTGGAGTCTCACTACCTCACCCAGGCTGAAGTGCAGTGGCCCGATCTCAGCTCACTGCAACTTCCACCTCCCAGGTTCAAGCGATTCTCCTGCCTCAGCCTCCCGAATAGATGTGATTACAGGTGCCCGCCACTACACCCAACTAATTTTTATATTTTTAGTAGAGACGGGGTTTCACCATGTTGGCCAGGCTGGTCTCAAACTCCCGACCCTAGTTGATCCACCCCCCTCGGCCTCCAAAAGTGCTGGGATTACACGTGTGAGCCACCATGCCTGGCCTACATGTATGCTTTTAGGTAAGACTTCTTTCACTCAGCCTAAATGTGTTTTGAGATTCATATATGCTACCATATGACATGGTTTGGGTCTGTGTCCTCATCCAAACCTCATGACGAATTGTAATCCCGTGTTGGAGGAGGGGCCCGGTGGGAGGTGACTGGATCATGGGGGTGGATTTCCCCCTAGCTGTTCTCGTGATAGTGACTGAGTTCTCACGAGATCTGGTTGTTTTAAAGTGTGAAGCACCTCCCCTTCTCTCTCTTCCTCCGGCCGTTTAAGAAGAGCCTGCCACCTCTTTGTCTTCCGCCATGATTATAAGTTTCCTGAGGCCTCCTCAGCCACGATTCCTGTGCAGCCTGCAGAGCCGTGAGCCAATTAAACCTCTTTTCCTTATAAATTACCCCATCTCGGTTATTTCTTTAGAGCAGTGCAAGAACAGACTAATACACCTTGTGTAGCAGCAGACTGTTCTTTATTCCTGGAGTAGTAGTCCATGGTATGGATGTACCAGAGTTGGTTTAGCCATCCCCCTTGCAACTTTTGAAGATCTCACTATCAAAAATCAACATTCAACCCCAAAGCACTCGTTATAATCTCCCAGGAAAAATATCAGAATTATAATCTAAGATGTCACAGGCTAAGGGGACTTTTCCAGCTTTTGTGTGCGGTGGCGGAGTGATAAGCATATGCTCTTTGTCACTTTCCAGCTCATCCATGTGCCAGAGAGTAAGAGCCAGTGTTGGTATAAAGCTGACCTGCTTACAACAAATAAAACAAAATGGAATTTTTATCTCTATTATGCTATTTCCCATCACCCCTAAAGTCAGAATCAGTTCTGATCTTGGGTGACTCTAAAGTCAACTAGACATGTTCACAATAATGGGTATGGCCATTGCTCCCTTCTTGGGTAAAAAGAAGAGGATACATTAAGAAATGGAGGACACTGTGGGTATTCATCAGAAATCCTGCCATTTCCATGACATCTCAGTTGTCTATAATGCAAGGTTTCACCTTCCATGGCAGTAAATATCCCCACCAGATTAGTAGGCACAAGCCTTAACCTGGTAAAACACTGTACACTTTTGCCATTACCCCCACCCGATTTCCACAGCACACAAGGAGGCAGAAAATACTATTCTTTTTTTTTTTTTTTTTTTTGAGACGGAGTTTCACTCTTCCCTCCCAGGCTGGAGTGCAATGGCGCGATCTCAGCTCACCACAACCTCCACCTCCCGGGTTCAATTGATTCTCCTGCCTCAGCCTCCCAAGTAGCTGGGATTACAGGCATGTGCCACCACATCTGACTAATTTTGTATTTTTAGTAGAGAAGGAGTTTCTCCATGTTGGTCAGGCTGGTCTTGAACTCCCGACCTCAGTGATCCGCTCGCCTCGGCCTCCCAAAGTGTTGGGATTACAGGCGTGAGCCACCGTGCCCGGCTGTTATTCCCATTTTAAAGATGAGAAAATTGGGGTTGAGAGAGGGTAAGTTATATGACCAAAGCATACAGTTTGTAAACAACTCAAACCTTTGTGTTTTGACATCCACTTTTCTACAGTTTACACTAGAGTATGTTGTAATTGGGGAAATGTCATTATCTAAGCCTGTTCCCCTTGGATGCTTTCCAAAATGGTACCACCATAGCATAGATAGTTGTTCCCAAAGTAATGCTGGTAGCGTCTTGCTAAAAACCTACCTAGACTCAATTCAAAGGCTATCATACAATGTACATATAAATGCTTCAAAGCCTGTATAACTGAGACATTTGAGGCTCTCCTTTTACGTGGAAGATGTATAAGCTGCCCTATGGGAGCAGGATTATCAGGTGACCCGAACAATGCACCCTAAAATAAATTGAAAAGAAGCCTCTGGCTTGCTGCGAGTCTAACTCTTGCTGCGTTCTACCTTCAGCAATTTCCTCCATGCAACCCAGGTTCAAAAGAGCATACACTGCCCATCCATGTGGCATCCCCCAAGGAAAGAATTGAGACTTTCTGTACTGCACCGAGTTCTAGAATTCAGGAGAGTTCATATACTTTGAAAAATGCTTAACTTTCAAGGAGTAGGTTGGTTCTGGGAGAATCTGACTTAGTGCTTTTCACCTGGATCTATAAGGATGAAATCGAAGATCTGCAAAATCACCTTTGCATCCAGATGTCAAATCATCTTTGCATTACAAATTCCTTTTGAGAAAGGGATCTTTATTAAAATTGTAAAAATTCCTTTTTTTTTTCACTGTAGGTGCTATTTTCTTTTTCTGTTTCTTTTGTTTGTTTGTTTTTATTTGTTTCAAGTCTCAGGTCAAAATTCTTCTTCAGTTCTAAATGCAGTGCTTCCTGGATTTCCATGAAGTGTTAACAACTACTTAAGGCTTACAGTTCACAGACCGAGGCTAACGACCTAAAGGCCCAAACCCATGGCTCCCAGGCACCTCTTCTGTTTATTAAACTCTGAGCCTCCCTAATGAGATGTGAAAAAGTTCCCATAAGGTAGAGGCTGCAGGCACTTTCCAGGTATTGATAAAGAGCTACCTTTCCAGAATTCATTCTCCATGATTCTAATGAGGGTCCTAGGAAAAAGAGTTTTAAAATGTAAGCACAGCAGAAAGTCAAAGGATTTACTTACCATCCAAATCATTTCTAAAATGGCCACATTTCTTTTTCTTCACGAAAATATAACATACATAGGCCAACAATCCAGCACTTGCCTGTCTCCTGTTGGTGCCCCCTTTTTTTACTTCTCTTCTTGCCTCATTTGACATGTAATTCATGGATTGACCAATAATAACAATAACCAACATTTAGTGCATTCTCACTGCATGCTAAATATTTTACATAGATTATTTCACTTAAACCCTACAATAGCCCTACAAAATAGATGCAATTAATATTCTCATTTTATAGATGAGGATAACTTAGGATCATAAAGTTAAGAAGGTCACATATGACACGTTCATTCACTCATTCATATTTATTTAGCACCTATTAAATATTGAGCTCTATGAGAAGTGCTGGCTACACATTGGTCAATAAATCAAGCATTGTCTCTGCCTTTATAGTGTTTGTGATCCTGTAGGAAAGAAAATAAAAAGGTTTAGAAAGATGACTTGTAAGGCAGTAAGTAGCAAAGCAAAGATTCAAACCCAGAATTCAAACTATTCCTCTAAAGCCATTGCCAGGGCTTGCACTGCAAAGAACTGATAAATACAGTGAGTTCTAAGTTTCTCTTGAAAGAATCAGTATGTCGATATGTTCAGTTCTTTGTTCTCCATCTTAAAGTTTAACTTCCTCGTTCTCTTCGTCTCCTTGCCCCTAGTTTCCGTAAACAACCTTCCCACCAGTTCTCATCAGTAGTTCACATCTGTTCCCCTGGTCACCTGCTTCGTCCTGAGTCACCCTGGTCACCTGTTCCGTCCTGAGTCACCCCTGGTCACCTGCTCCATCCTGAGTCACCCCTGGTCACCTGCTCTGACCTGTGTCACCTTTAGTCACGTGTTCCGTAACTGTCTTTCCTGCCAAAACTGCTCACCCCGCCACTCTGGCTCATACCTCTGCTCTCTTTAAAACAGCCAATCGGAATTAAGCTTAGACTGTGCGGTCCAAACCCAGCCAATATGGGAATGTCGCAGCAGTAGGAGCTTCCTGTGTCAGGGATAAGAACCCCTTCCCCTCCCTTGTTCAGGTGTGCTCTCGCCATTGCTCCCTTCATGAGACACACCCTTCTATAGAAGTAAAATTGCCTTGCTGAGAAAATTTATGTTTGAGTGTTATTTCTTTTGCAGCACCAAAAATTTATTTCCAGCAAAACCATGGTGTGCAATGGGGGAAATTAAAATGTTCTTATCTGAGCCACTGTATCTTACAACCCAAAATATTTTTCTAGATTTCTCAAGTTCGTATTTGGAAGAACTTCTTTAACAAAAAATAAAAGAGCTTTCTGGGCTCAAGGGGCCTTTCCATTGCTGTCACATAGTGTAGAAGACTTACCCCCTGCACCCTAGCTGCCCAGCCTCCACACACAGTCTTCATATCCCAGTGACTGCTCTAGACACTGCAGGAGTCTGTGTGTTTGCCTGTGGGCTTGTGTTGTGCAGCTACGGGAGGCAAGGCCCAGAGAAGGTGAAAGAGAAAGAATACTTTGGTATTACAGGTTGAGAACAAGACATCTCTGGTTAGAGGCCATTGAAGTCAGGAAGATTTACAGGCTTTCACTTGACTTTCTAGAACCCAGCAGTGTGCACTGGCTTTCCAAAATTCAAGTGTGATCTGAAATTGTATATTTAAAGGAATCATGGCTACAAAGGGAAGACAGAGATACATACAACTCTATAATGTTCAAAACCATGCCTAGTGTGCTTGGATCTGTTGTGGAAGCTTACTTTCAAAGGCAATTGACAAACCAGGGCCTGTCTGGAGGGAACAGATTGAAATCCATGGTAGGTGAAGAACTAATAACGTCCCGGCTGGAGAAGAGCAGATTCGGAGGATTCAGTAGCTCTCTTCAAATATTTTAAGGACCATAAGGTAAAGGAATAATGAGATTTAACTTCTGTAGCTTCAAGATACAGAATGAGGACTGATATGGACTGAATGCTTGTGTCTCCCCAAAATAAATATTTTGAAACCCAAAGCCCCAGTATGATGGTATTAGGAGGTGAGGTCTTTGGGAAGTGTTTAGGGTCATGAAGGTGGAGCTCTGATGAATGTGAGGTTACAGTAAGAAGCTGGGGCCAGGTGCGGTGGCTTATGCCTGTAATCCCAGCGCTTTGGGAGGCTGAGGCAGGAGGATCACAAGGTCAGGAGTTCGAGACCAGCCTGGCCAACATGGTGAAACCCCCATCTCTACTAAAAATACAAAAAATTAGCCAGGTGTGTTGGCAGCCACCTGTAATCCCAGCTACTCAGGAGGCTGAAGCAAGAGAATCGCTTGAACCCAGGAAGCAGAGGTTGCAGTAACTGGAGACCGCACTACTGCACTCCAGCCTGGGCAACAGAGCAAGGCTCCATCTCAAAAAAAAAAAAAAAAAAAAACAAAAAGAAAGAAAGAAAAAGAAAGAAGCTGGCTGTCTATAACCCAGAAGAGGGCACTCACCAGAACTTACCAGAACCATGCTGGCACCCTGATCTTATACTTCACAGCCTCCAGAACTGTGAGAAATAAATGTGAGTTGTTAAAGCCACCCTGTCTATGCCATTTGATGATAGCAGCCCAAGCTGACTGAGACAAAGACCGATACATAGAGCAATTCAGCCCACATTCACTGAGCAGCCAGCGGTGATGTCCATGGCCCAAGGTCATGGTATTACAATTTGCAAAGTATTAAATACAAATATGAATAAAACATGGATGGGGCTTGCCCTCTGGGAGCTTACGTGTATTAAGAGAGACAGACACAAAGCATCACTGGCATTTAAGTATCATTTCACTATCATATGAGGCTATGAGAGCAGCACAGGGGAGGGGCACTTAACCAGTCTGGGAGTTAGGGGAGATTTTGTGATGGAGCTGTTAACACCGAACCCAGCGCACAGAAGGCACTTGATAAATATTTCCTCATTGAATGAATAAACTTGTGTTTGAGGATAATTCTTTGGGTCATATAGGATGGATGGCAGTGGAAGGAGATCAGAGGGAAGAAAGCCAGCTGGGACATGGCTGCGAGGTTTTTACTAGAGTCACCTAATTAAAGATTAAAAGGGCCTACATGAAACAAGTAATTTTAAAGTTGAAAAGAGGAGGAAGGAGACTTGTGATATATTTAGTAGGTGGAAAGAACAGCCTGGGCACAGTGGCTCATGCCTCTAATCCCAGCACTTTAGGAGGCCAAGGCGGATGGATCACGAGTTCAGAAGTTTGAGACCAGCCTGGCCAACATGGTGAGACCCCCTCTCTACTAAAAATACAAAAATTAGCCGGGCATAGTGGTGGGTGCCTGTAGTCCCAGCTACTCAGGAGGCTGAGGTGGGAGGATCGCTTGAACCCAGGAGACGGAGGCTGCAGTGAGCTGAGATCGCGCCACCATGCTCCAGCCTGGGTGACAGAGACACCCTCTCAAAAAATAAAAATAAGAATGACAAAGGCAGCAGGGCGTTATGATAATGGCTCAATATGAGATGCTCTTCTTGGTCTTCCCCTAAACCTCAGTACTCCCAGAGCAAATCATTCCTTTCGCAAATATTCATCAAGGGCATCCCGGGTGCCTTGCACTGTGCTAGGCTCTGGGGATATGCCAAGGAATGACCCAGACCCCCAGCCTGTCCTCTTCTTGCTCCTGGGACAGCACAATGTAGATGAGAAGCAGAAGGTGGAAGAAGCCTCTGAACAAGGTAACAAAGGTGAACAACGGTTGTTAACTATGGTCCAGGAAGAAAGGTCAGCAAGATAGAGGGAATCTTTTCTCTACAAAGGGTCACTGAACCACAGGAAGAAAAATCAATAGACGGTTGTGCAAGCAAAGAACAATTTGATTCTCCCCTAGAGAGCCACAGAAAATATTGTATTCGTAAGCTCATAAATGTTTGAAAAGGTAATAGAAAACTATTTAATGAGCTCAGAAAATAGTTTCTAAATTTCAGCTCTGATGTTATTGGTACCTGCAGAAGAGAGGTGGAGAGGTTAAAGAGAAAGAGCAAACTAAGACTGCAGAAACCAAGGGAAAAGAAGAAGAAACAGGTGAACATTGCACAAAACAGAGGAGGAAAGAAAAGTAATGGGCACATGAAATAAAACACAGAAAGAGAGCCCTGAGAAAAACAGAAGAGATGAAGACAGAAGGCAAAAGACAGTCATCCACAGAAACCAAGGATTATAGAGACACATGAAATAGACAGATAGAAATGCAAACACGTGATCAGAGGAGCAGGTTTACACAGATAGAACGTTCTACAGAAAGTGCCCGGAAAGAGAGACGCCAGACAGTGGCTCAGATAGGAGCATAAAAAGGGAAACGTATTTGAAGCTCATGTCTATAGATGCATAAATAATAATAATAAATACATGCATGGCTTGTACTGTCTCAAGCACTCTTCCAAGCACTTTATATATTATTTAATCCTTATAAAAGCCTTATGAGGGAAGCGCTATTATCATCCCTGTTGTTGTCCCCATTTTTCAGATGTAGAAGCTGGGTCAGAGCGGTGAAGTTACTTGCCTGAGGTCACACAGCTAGCTAATGACATGACTGAGACTTGGACACAGGCAGTCTAGTCTTAATAGCTGTGTGCTCTTAATACTGCCCTATATCCCTCTAATTATTGTCTAATATATGCACAAATAAACCATGGCAAAGATGCACAGAGGGGGAAAAGTCAAGAAGAAAGCCCACACAGTCACTGTCACAAGACATGAATAAACTCTGTTGTATTAGTAAGATTTCACGCTGCTAATAAAGACATACCAGAGACTGGGTAATTTATAAAGAAAGGAGGTTTAATGGATTCACAGTTCCACGTGGCTGGGGAGGCCTCCCAGTCCTGGCAGAAGGCCAGGAGGAGCAAAGCCACATCTCACATGGTGGCAGGCAAAGAAAGAATGAGAGCCAAGCGAAACCACTTGGGTCTCTTTTCTTATAAAACCATCGGATCTCATGAGACTTACTCACTACCATGAGAACAGTATGGGGGAAACCACTCCAGTGATTCAATTATCTCCCACTGGGTCCCTCCCACAACATATGGGCATTAGGAGAGCTATAATTCAAGATGAGATTTGAGTGAGGACACAGTCAAACCACATCATCTGTCCTTCGTGGGAAAATATCTACACCTTTGGAAATTTTGGAAATTGTGATTAAATATTCTTAAGCTGTGCTGAATGTTCCCAGCTATATTCATAAGAAAGGAGGGAAACAGTGTCCAAATCCCTCCCTCGCAAGGGCCAGGGAAGACCCAGCCAGATACAGGTTAAGGGGCTGCAGGTTGGAAACTGGAGTGCACAGAGTCAAGGCTAAGGGTGAAAATCCATGCCCAGGCAACAGATTGCTTGGGGCTGGGTGAACCAAGACAAACTCCTGCAAGAAAGATAGGATATCTTTTCACGTGGACATGAATGGATAAACAAATCAAGCACTTAGTACTATTCTTACTACTAGGAATGTAACAGAAAAAAAGACAGAGAACATCCCATCCCATGGAGAACTCTTAGCTAGTGGGAGAGAGACAACAGCAAACAATTAGAACACGGTGCCGTCAGTCTACACTGCAGCAGGGGGAGGAGGAGGGAAGAGCTGGGCTAGGCCAGGCCTACTATATACCTCTGAGGCATCACAGAAGGAGCTGCAAGGGGTGAGACTGCAGCACAAAGGCCCACTTCCTCTTGTGACAACAGTGGACCTTTGAGACTGAGATGCCTGGAGCATTTCAGGTGCTGCTCTGAGTGGGACAATCCACTCCCTAATCTTGTGTTTATATTTTGCTGGTTCTGTAATTAAAGCAAAGTACAAGCAAGTTTGGCTGAGTACAAATCCACAATCATGCAAGCCCAAGGAACTGGGCCAGGCATGGCGTCAAGAGCACGTTGGAAGGTACCTAAGCCACCCAAAGTATGGGGACTCAGCTCCCCAGAAGACACAAAGCTTAAGCTGAAAACTTAAACAGAACTAGCCAGGTGAGGCAGGAGAAGGAGATGGAGGGGTAAAGACTGTTTGAGAAGCAGGAAGGAGGGAATGTGAAAGCCTGGAGAAGAGAGAGAGAGCATAGAATGTGCAAAATTCTGAAAGAAATCCTGTGTGGCTTGGCAGATGGAGAACTAGGTGGAGAATGCTGGAGAACTATAGCAAGAGTCTTACAGGCATCACAAAATCAACAATGTGGCTTTCTTCTATGGGAGAGGGCAAAGCATTGAAGGGTCTTATTTATGGAAGTGACACATGGGATATGCATTTTAGGATGTGCACCCTGGCTTCAGTGAGGATAGATTAGTGGGTCTGCAGAAAGATCCCACTAATCAGTTAGAAAGATAGGCAATGACACAGTGTTGCAGTGGCCACCATCAACTCTTTCTCTCCCTACATGCACATGACAAGAAATGAAACCTAAAATTCCTCCGCTTGAATCGGGGCTGGCCTTAGGAAGTGCTTGAACCAGTAGAATGTGGCAGAAGAAGTGACATTCTGGGATTTCCAATGCGAGGTCATAGAAAGTGTTGTGGCTTCTGCCTGGATCTCTTGGAACGTTCATTCTCTGGACACTTCCCCAAGGAATCCAGCCATTCCCCAAAGGAATTGAGCCTTCTTGAGCTGCAAGAAGCTCAAGTCACATATGGAGGTTCCTTTGAAGATCCTTTAGGTGGCAGCTCTAGCTGAATTCCTAGTAAGCAGTCAATGGTAACTTAACTGACATGTGAGCGTCACATCTTGGATGTCCAACTCAGGCGAGCTCTCAGATGACTCCAGTGGACTGCAACCCTATGAAAGCCCTCCATTAAGAGTTCCCTGGGCTGGGTGTGCTGGCTCACATCTGTAATCCCAACACTTTGCTGAGGTGGCAGGATCGCTTGAGCCAAGGAGTTGCCTGGGCAACATAGGGAAACCCCATCTTTACAACAATTTCAAAAATTAGCTGGGCTTGGTGGCATGCTCCTATAGTCCCAGCTACTCAGGAGGCTGAGGCAGGAGGATTGCTTGATCACAGGAGGTCAAGGTTGCAGTGAGCTGTGATGGTGCCACTGCATACCAGTTTGGGTGACAGAGTGAGATCCTGTCTCAAAAACAGTAACAACAACAACAAAAAAATTCCCCAGCTGAGCCCAGGCAGCCCACGGAACTGAGAGAGAATATGAAATCACTGTTTTAAGCCATCAGTTTGGGGGCAGTTTATTATGCAGCAATAGATAACCAACATGCCAGTTAAGAGAGAACAATAGCTATGTGTGTCTGGGCTCTCCAGAAAAATACAATCAACAGTCTATCATCTATCTATCTATCTTATATCTGTATTATCTATCTATGTATGTCTCTATGTATCTTTGTATCTATGTATTTATGTATCTATCTATCGATCTATCGAGACTTAAGAATTGGTCCACACAATTGCAAGGGCTAGCACATCTAAAATCTGTAGGGTAAGCCTGCAGGTTGGACATCCAGGCAGGAGTTGATTCTGCAATCTTGAAGCAGAAATACCTCTTCTCTGGGACACCTCAGTTTTTGCTCTTAAGGCCTTTAATTGATTGAGATGAGACCCACCCACATTATCAACGGAAAGCGCCTTTACTTAATGTCAATTGATTGTTGACGTTAACCACATCTACAAAATACATCACAGCAACACTTAGATTAGCATTTGATTAAATCACTGGGTACTATAGCCTAGCCAAGTAGACACATACAATTAGCCATCCCAGTAACCCAGACCAGAGATGGGTGGTGAGATTGCAAAAGGATAGATTTAAAACATTAGGGTGTGAGACTTTAGCAAAAGTTTGGCGATGGACTAGAAATGGACACTGAAGGAGAAGACAGCAAGGGTCATGCAGGGCTTTCTGATTCAGGCCACTGGGAGAAGGATGCTGACTTCTCTGACACACAGAGTAGCGTAAACGAGAGGGGAGAGGGCAATGATAATAATGAAGGTGGTGACCTGTTGTGGTTTTAATTCATGCTAAGACTTGTAAAGAAAAAAAAAACGGGATCACGTTGCAGAATCGGAGTGAGATTGTGAAAAAGCAGGACTGTGAAATCTTTGGAAAGAAGTAAGGGGTGCACCCATCCGGCTGCCTTCAGGTGCCATTTGCAATGAGCATAAAGCTGTGACAGAAGTGACTTGCAAGGATCCCTCCAGGGGTCTAATTGCAAGAGTGTCCTTTGCCTGCCAAAGCGGGTGGATCACGAGGTCACGAGATCGAGACCATCCTGGCTAACACAGTGAAACCCTGTCTCTACTAAAAATACAAAAAATTAGCCGGGCGTGGTGGCACGTGCCTGTAGTCCCAGCTACTTGGGAGGCTGAGGCAGGAGAATCGGAGGCTGAGGCAGGAGAATCGCTTGAACCCGGGAGATGGGGGTTGCAGTGAGCCGAGATTGCGCCACTGCATTCCAGCCTAGGCGATGGTGAGACTCTGTCTCAAAAAAAAAAAAAAAAAAAAAATTAAAGCTGATTGTGAATTGCTAAGTGTGAAAAACACAAGTTCTAAAAATACAAAATCAACAGTTAAGATGAATGTTAAGATTTCAGAATATATTTTAATTTGCAGACAAAAAAAAAATCTAGGTCACTGCTATTATTGTTCAATGTGTGAAGAAGAAAATGTAAAGAAACCAATTTTCGTTGACGGATTATAAACTTTTATTCAGTTAGATATTTTTAGGGAAGGAAAAGGGAAGAGTAGGAACCTTTTTTTTTTTTTTTTTGCAGACTTTGGCAACATATTGAGAGCCTGAATTAACACTGAATCCTATGAAAACAGTTTTGTAATTATAATGCTGAATCAGTCTTATGTGTAATTACACCAATATGCTACTCTGTGAAACATTTCTTAAGGGAAATGTTCGTGGTATATTTTGTATTTATGCCACTGTCTTTTATAAAAGGTCTCATTATTTCATGAACTTCAATTTACCAGGCCAAGTCCTAACTGTAGGCTTAGGCAAGGGCCAGCAATGCACGTATATTTCAAGGAGCTTCGTCTGTGCTCTGAGAAACTGTGTCTTGCACAGGTGGAGAAACAGGTAGGCAGTTCAGTTCTGCTCATGGCCATTTAGTGAGGCGGGTTCACATACCTAAAGGGGCCCTAACTGCTCCCAGAAAGCCAGCGCGCATCTCAGGCATTGTTCCAGGACGGCTCCCACGGTTCGCTGTGGAATTCATCATCTTCCGCTTTTTGGCTTCAGTCCCACACTCAGCTTCTGTTTTTGCCTGGCCTCTGGGAACTGCTTTTGGCTTCTGGCTCCCTTCCAAATCCTAACTTTTCATCTATGCCCTTAGGCTTCACCCAGCAGAATCTCAAATAAGAATGATCCTTCCTACCCTGGGTTCCTCAGCCCTTACTTAGCCCTAGTCAAGGGCTAAGTAATCGGGGCGGGGCGGGGCGGGAAGCGTAACTCTTGGCTCTGCCTGTACTCGAGCTGATTAATTTTCAGGGAATTCAGAGCGATTCCTGATTAGACCTCAGAGCACGTGGTTTGACCGGCCATCTGGAAAGGGAGGGACAAGCCACAGACAGTTCATATAAAGGTAAATCCTTTTCTACGGAAAATAATGCACAGAAAGACGATAACCTAGAAAGTTGAAGTTTAATACTTTCTGCTTGGTGTGACCTACTTTCCATCATGAAAAGACCAAAGAAAGTTCAAACAGAACGAACTGAACAGGAAGAGTTGGTCCTTACCAAGAACGTGGTATAATCCATATGAAATGATCACAAAAGCAAAACTGGGGTTTATAATTGTTTACACATCCCCCTAGGCAGAGGACTGGAACAGAAACTATTATAGCATTATTGCTCCATCACAGACTTGCTGTATTTATTGCAGATACCAAGAGTTTAAACTAGTTAGTAAAATATTAATTGTAAGCCAGAAAAATGATATTAAACTGGAAATAATCAGAATAGCTACCATGTACTGAGATTCTAATATATAACGGACTCTGTACTGAGCATTTGACATATTGAATATTCATAAAAACTCACAGAGGTTAAGTATTGCTCCATTTTACTGATAAAGACACTGGCTAGGAAAACTGGCTTAGCCTAATAAGAATAAAGACGTTGCCATAAATAACCAGCGGCAAAGGTAAAATGCTGCCTTTAAGATGTTCTAGTAGTAACTTATTCACTTACAGGGGAGACCAAATTTAAAAGAAAATGAAAGATTAGGGATAACAAACAAGAAACATCAATAATAAAATGCCTGAAACAAACAAGACACATGGAGTCAACTTAAAGCTGAGCCTAGAAACCAGACTGTACTCCCCAGCCCTTTCCAACTCCTAGTTCCTATAGTGAGTCTTGACCTATTTTCTGAACCACCTAGAAAGATCCTTTGTTCTTCCTGATGCATTACATAAAACACATGACTCAGATTAACCAGGTCTGTAAATTAAATAAACACACACACACACACACATACACACACAAATGAAAATGTATTAATCGTGGCTAGTGTAATGAAGGTGAATTTCAGGATAATACATCAGCAATGACTTAATCAGGTTGTCCAGGGAAGGCTTCCTTGAGGAAGGGATAACTGGTTCTAAACTGGTTGGGACAGGGGTGGAAGTGGTTGGAGCGATGTGGCCAAAGTCCGTAGTCCCTCCAGTTATTGGGCAAGAAGTAGATGAGAAGGATTCATCGTGGTTCATGGTGACCAGTTTGAAGGTCATGGAATAAGTAGAAGGTACTATGAAAGAGTAGGTATAGACAGCTCCTTCCAGGATTTGGCTGTGTCGTGGAGGACAAAGCATCTTTGAGTATTTAAGAAATGAAACAAAAAATAAAATCGAGATGGCATGCTGACATACTGTGATTTTAGAATCGACTGGCTCACAATGAATGCTTGCTTCACACCAAAGGAGTAGTTTATGTTATTAAGAAAACAGTGATCTAGCCCCAGCTACTCAGAAGGCTGAGGCGGGAGGATCGTTTGAGTCCAGGAGTTCGAGACCAGCCTGGGCCACATAGTGAGACCCTATCTCAACAAAACAAAACAAAACAAAAATGATCTAAGAAATCCAGTGATTTAGGGATTCCAAAGGCAGGAAAACATTCCATTTCAGCCCCAATAGATTGGAGGAAAATTAAGAGCTTCAAATAGACACCACCTTTTTTTTTTTTAGCAACACTTCTATACCTCAGTTAAAATAGAGTTGTCTATTGAACTAGCCACTTGGTACATTGGGAAAAATCCCAGCAACCTACAGGGGAGCTGTCTGTAGTCTGTGTGATCATCAGGCTGACATCACACTGACAGGTAAGATACGGCCATTGATAGTTATCCCTGCTTCAGGTTAATCCATGACACTAATCTCAGAGTAGAGTTTGATCTTCAAACTAGGGCTCCCTCAAAAAATTGGGAAGGTGGCATGACCTGTACATTTAGAATCAGAAAGTCAGACATCAGTGATTGCCCCTTAATGAATCTAGTGAGATACAAAATGGAAGACATGGTATTCAGAAAAGCCAAGAATATTACGAGACCTCAATAACTGGAGAAGCCTCATTTCATCATCTTGCCACTTTTCCCTTTCCCTGAAACTGCTGAGTGTTCCCTGCCCCCACCCCAGCATCTCTCTTCTAATTGCTCTACTGGGCTTCTCAGTCCATGTCTTCATCACTTCACACCTGGCCTAGTGCAGAAGAGGCCACCTGTCCTATCTATCCTGCACAAGTCTACTGCACTAATCATTTTGACATGTGATGGCAGAGGCAGCAATGGATATTGAGAATTCCAAGACTAGATATCCAGTTCCTTCATTTACTAGTGATGACACCTTGGAAAATTCATCTCAATTCTCTGAACCTCTACCTCTTCATTTGTTAAATGGGGTTAAAAAAAAAGTTAAATTTCTTCCAGGATAAAAGTAAAAAAAAATTTTAGTACTGTAACCAGGACATCTATATTTAACCTTCATTTTATGTTAAATTATTCCACCATCACATACTAGATGAAACCCAAACTCCTAGGGCCCCACATAACATGACAGCTAAAGAAAGAAAATGAATAAATACCCAAAGGAAATGAAATCAATATGTTAAAAAGATACCTACACTCCCACGTTTACTACAGCATGATTCACAATAGCCAAGATGTAGAATCAGCCTAAGTGTCCATCAATGGCTGAATGCATAAATGAAATGTGGTATATATACACAGTGGAATAGTATACAGCCTTAAAAAATGAGGAAATTCTGTCATTTGCAGACAACAAGAATAAACCTGGAGGACATTATGCTAAGTGAACTAAGCTAGGCACAGAAAGACAAATACAGCATGGTCTCACTTACATGTGGAATCTAAGAAAGTTGAACTTATAGAAGTACAGAGGAGAATGGTGGTTACAACAGGTTGGGAGGAGATGATGGTCAAAGGGTACAAAGTTTCAGTTGGGCAGAAAGAATACATTTTTCAAGATCCATTGCACAACATGGTGACCATAGTTCCTAATAATGTATTGCAGATTTCAAAACTGCTAAAAGAGCAGATTTTAAATGTTCTCACTAAAAAAAAAAATGTTAAGCATATGAGCTGATGGATATGTTAATTAGCTTGATATAATTATTCCACAGTGTATGCATATATCTAAACACCATATTTTATTCCATAAATAGATACAATATTCATCAATTAAAAATAAACATTTAAATTTAAAGGAATAATAAGTAAAACTCTTCAAAAAGTCCAAATTCAATCAGCAACTCAGATGTCTAAGTTTTTCCCTTAACAGCTAATGCGTACATTGATATTGTTCAGTTTGTAAAAGACCAGCTCATATATTTGAGTAGAGTGTCAGAACTAACGCAAGGTAAAATGAAATATAAAAGAATATGATGATTAAAGCAAAGGATAGGAAGTCAATTGAAATATAAACTCATGAGTGAAGGAACAATGTTAAAACACTGGAGAAAGATCTATCTACTTTGATATTGTACCAGTGTAAACAATGTAATGTACCAATGAAGACATGGCAAGCAATGTTGTAAGGAAAAGAGAATTTGAAACACAAGGCAGGCTGAAAGGGAGCGTATTTGACATGTGAACATAAAAATATATAGCTAATATTGAGTACAACTTGGGAGATAAATTTTGAAGTAGAATTTAGAAGACCAGTGAACCCCACGTGAGTTCCATATACTTTGATGGCAAAGTTTATATTCTGAAGACCAAGGAGAGGAGCTAGTCCCTAAATGTGCAAGAGTTAGTTTCTGTTATTAAATACGGAAGAAGTAATGACATGGTGTGGTTTCTGTTGCTTTTTCTAAATGCACAGGCATGCTGTATGGTAATGACAAATAGAAGATGATATGACAGTATATTAATGCTGAAAAATGGTCTTGATGCAGAGGAAACAAAGAAAAAAGCTTTTTCAATCTGACAGCTGACCCAAATCACCTATCATAAAGTACACACTTCTTAAATTAAAAAAAAATAAAATATGTATTGCTTTCAGCTGTCAATGTAGTCACCCTGTATGAATTGTAAACAGCAAACATTTAGAGGCTCAGAAAAATGAACTTAGTCTTGTATTATTGAAAGAAGCCCCTAGCAGAGATGATTTTTGGTTTTCTCCAAGAACTTTGTCCTACAGAACAAAATGCCTGGGACATAATAAGGGTCAATAAATGTTAATTGAATGAAAAAGTGTAAGCTCACAAAACACTTACCAAAGTCAGACAATACTGTTGCTTTTGCAGAAATAGTTCAGAAAATAAAGTGAAAACTTTGTGGTAAAACTAAGTGTGATTTTCCAGTTTTATGATCTAATGCAAAAATTTGATTAACTTATCCCATCTCTTTTCATAGTTTATATCGTTTCACAAAGTTAAATCATTAAATGGTATGGTTTGAATAATGTAAATGTCATATAGCTGAAACAATTAACATAGGTGGTAGATATGCAGGTGTATTTTGTTTAACACTATTTTCTTCAAAGAACATAAATAAAAATGAAAGCAAGATGGTGACTGTTATTTTAGAAATATCAATTAATCTACAAATACAGCACTGGAATCTTTTCTCACATATCCAACACAAGAAAGACAAAGGAATAACTTCCAAGAAATTTTAATCAAACCTGAGGGGATAATACAAGATTTAATAAAATTGCCACAGTGTAATAGTTATCTGTAACAAAGTAATCAGGCACGAAATACCTGTTTTACAAGTCATTTGAAAGGTATCTCATTTGCATGAGTCATAAATGTGTGGGTTGACATAATAGCACTGTTTCCTGCCACTAAGTTTTCAGTAAATATGTGATTGATAATATTCAGTCATCTTGGATTCCAGCTCATCTCTTTGAAACCTGACGATGTCTATAAAAATCAAATGGTATTAGTGGCTCCAAAAGAAACTAAGAAACAAAATAATAGTGTGTGTATTTCGGGGTTGGGGGCGGGAAGAAAGTAAAATAGAAATTAAGGACTGTTACTGTGTACCTATTAGTTTTCTGTAATTGGCTACAGAAATGAATACAGTTCTTTTAAGTTAGAAAACTATTCAAGAAAGCTAATGCAGTAATTACCATGCAAGTTACCTAGGGAATCTAAGACTAATTACTGGAGCTCAAAGATCTGCGGGGATAAAACCTGCTTACCAGAAGTTTCCAGAGCTTCACAAAGAAGCCTTCATGGGTGAAGCAGAAGAACTGGGGAAGGAGGACTAGAGGGCGTCTCATATCATGTTTAATTTAAATTTAACCATCTCAATGTTATTCTCAAATAGCTGAGTGTCACGCTCAAGCAAATGATTATCCATCAGTTTTCTAAAAATCAGAGGGAGAGACTGTGAAGAGCAATAATTTCTTAGACTGAAATCCAGGTAGATTTTTCACAAATTATTCTGTGCATTAGCTTGTCCTTGGAGGGAAGGGGGTGGGGACCTCTTATAGGAGAATCAATCAAGCTTTTAAAAGCAGAAAAGGCAGACACCTCAACATTGTTGACTTTGTACTGCTACACCTAAAAGAAATTAGATACCAAGAAAGAACAGAGAGCAGGACATCTTCAACTCTTACTTAAATCTCTCTTTAACTGAGTTCAACTAGTATCTCACAAAATGTAAATTCATAGCGGAAACTTAGAATCTGCGGTAAATTTCAGGTAAATCTGAGCCAGACTCACACCTATGCTTGGGATAACCATGCCATCTTGGAAGGTGATTGGATAGGCATCCTGGATAGGCAATTGAATCCCAGAGTCTCAGGGCCAGAAAGATCCTTAGAAATACATTAGTCCATGTGGAAGGTTCTAGACTCTTGGAGAATCTGATGAAAGCCACAGATTCTTTTCCCAGAAACGTGTACAAAATCTCACAATTTTGAGAGTTTTAGGAAACCGCTTTCATGGACTTCAGATTAAGAATCTTCCTAGTTAAGCCTTTCATGTTTCCGGGTAAAAGCTGAAGGAAGTTTGAGACTCAAGCGCCAAGCTGCCAAGTTCTCAGACCCACAATTAAGTGCTGAATGAGTAAAAGCTTAGGAATCTATAAAAAGAGGACAAACCCCCTCGTAGCACAACAAGAAAGTTAAAATAAAATTGCTGAGAAGATAGACTTGGAGAAGCCCTATCTCTTACAAAAGCCAGATTTAAACTGCAGTTGCTTTTCTTTTTTGAGAGAATTCATTTTCTCTTAGCATTTATATTTTCCCCAGACCAAGCAAAAGGTCTTCTGTATCCAGTTGTCTTAAAGTCAGCTCAAACACATCCTGTCCAAGATGCTTTTATCTTCTCAATCCAATTTCTCTTTGAAATCTTTCTGTCAGTAGCAGCATGAGTATTTCAGATGCAGGATTTCTCATTTGACTTTATTTTTCTTCTCCTTCAATGAGAGAACTGGAAGTCAACAAGTAACCAAGTCCTACCAAGTCTTCAGTCATAGAGCAATTTATTGGGTACCATCTATGAGATAGGCACTGGAGATACAAAGATAAACAAGATAATGCCATGTCCCCAAAGGGCTCATAGTCAAGCATCTCTCTCTTGATATTTTCATAGCTACCGTTGATGTTGTAGTTGGTCACCATTCTGTAGTTACTTGTCTACAACCAGCCCCTACCTGCTCTGATTTTTCTACACTACTCCCTCCCTCCTAATACTCCAACTTGCTTTCATTCATTATGCTGTCCGAATACTTTCCCTAAAACAGTAAATTCAATTTGTAATTCCTTTGCTAGCAATATTGCTCTTGGGCTCCTGGTAGCTACAGAATGTCTGTGGACTTTACTCTGATAACCAGATCTCCATGCATCAGATCCTTCCTTGTCTACCTGAAATTATCCTCTTTATCTTGCGTACCTAATAGTACAAGTTCATTGCTCCAGCCCAGCTGGCCTTGAATCTTATTGCCTTTCTTCCTGGCCTCATCACTCCCAAATTGGTCTCACCCTCCCTTTGCAGCCATCTTCAGAGTTATAGCTCAAGTTCTGCCTCTTTTCACAAAATATTTCAAAAAACTATATCCCACAGTGATCTTGCATTAATATATGACAGTATTTGTCTAAATCACTCATTCTGATATTCAATCATAAATATTCATACTTATATTTCTTGTCTTTCTAAAGTGACTATAAATTCTTTGAGTTCAGTAAGAAAACATGACACTTTTTTGTTTACTTTCATGCATCCATTTCTTTAATATTTTTTTTTGTTGAGGCCCTATTTTGTGCCCAGCACTCTAGCAGGAACAAAAAAAGACTACAGTGCTCTAAACTATACAGTGCATAGTTTAGAAATATGCCCATAAAAAGAACATTACAATATAATAAATATTCAAGTCAATAAATAAATGTCTGTGTGCCTGTTCTCTTCTATGACAACAAAATGTATTATAGCCCCAGAGGTTTACTTTTTTTTTTTTTTTGAGGTGGAGTCACTCTGTCAGCCAGCCTGCAGTGCAGTGGTACAATTTAGATCACTGCAACCTCTGCCTCTCAGGTTCAAGTGATTCTCCCGCCTCAGTGATTCTTCTGAGTACCTGGGATTACAAGTATGCCCCGTTATGCCCAGCTAATTTTTATATTTTTAGTAGAGATGAGGTTTCACCATGTTGGCCAGGCCAGTTTCGAACTCCTGGCCTCAAGTGATCCACCCACCTCAGCCTCCCAAAGTGCTTGGATTGCAGTTATGAGCCACTGCACCTGGCCTAAGATGTTTACTTAAATTGGCCCTGAAGGGATGGATAGGCCATTTGGAGTAATTGTCATGGTTACTGATGCATTTTTTTTTAATGTGAAAATGGTACTAAGGTAATAATGGCTGTACCCTCCATGGACCAGCCATCTATACAGATTCTATACCTCATAATCTGCAGCAGTGACTTTCATACATCTCTGGATTTGAAGAGACTGATTTTTGTCCAAAAAAAAGAAAGGAAAGGAAGACAAAAGATTTACAGATAATAAGTTATTAAATGGAGCCAGACATTGTGAGTGGATACTTATAGAGATGATTTAAGGCTCTGAATAAGGTTACCTTCCCCCAAGGGAATCCCCAAGAAGGGATTTCCTTCTGCTCCTATCGGGCATCTAAGTTAAGGGCAGATCTAAATCCAGCTCAGGATGGAAATGTTTCAAAGTTGGCCTTCAGTTCTTTTTTTTTTTTCTTTTGAGACGGAGTCTCTCTGTCATGTCACCCAGGCTAGAGGGCAATGGCACAATCTGCAACCTCTGCCTCCTGAGTTCAAGCGATTCTCCTGCCTCAGCCTCCTGAGTAGTTGGGATTACAAGTGCATGCCACCACGCCTGGCTAATTTTTTTTTTTTTTTTTGTATTTTTAGTAGAGACGGGGTTCCACCATGTTGGTCAGGCTGCTTTTGATCTCCTGATCTCGTGATCCACCTGCCTCAGCCTCCCAAAGTGCTGGGATTACAGGCGTGAGCCATACGCCCAGCCCCTTCAGTTCTTTTAAAAACTGGTTTTTCCAGGGATTCAAAGTTGGCCTTCAGTTCTTTTGAAAACTGGTTTTTCCAGGGATTGCTGGAAGCTCTGCTCAGCTTCTCTGCCTCTCAGCCAAATTTTGCTTTTGTATTCGGCAAGTTCTTTATGACAAAAACCAGCCCAAATTGATGGGTTCTTTTCACCTTCTGGGCTTTAGTCCTTTAAATTCTCCCTGCCTTCGTGGCAGGGAGGACCTGCTCCAGTGTCCTCACACAGGTGTTTGGTAGACTTTGTTTTATTTTCATTACTCTCAAGAGGCTTGGTCTGAACTTAACAGCCAGAAGTAAAAGCTCCTATACTCCCTACTTTGATCATTACAGTCATTACAAATCTATCTTTCCAGCTAATTATCTTAGATTGATCCTCAATAGCTCACTACCTGAATCTCTCCCTCTTCTTTTTTTGTCTATTCTGCATATGCAGAAAGGTTTCTCAAAATCAGACTCTGTTATCACTTGTTGACCCTGTGATCATTTAGGTTATGATTGTGCAATTTTCAATCTCATCTTCCTGCCACCAGGACCTCTCAAATCCAGTCTCAAATAGATTGAATTTGGCATAAAACGTCCTGGAAATGAAATCGTTAAACAGGAATCCCCTTTCCAGCCTCTCTTCCTAAAATATCAGATAGGAAAGATGTTTAATGGTATCCTCCAGGAAGTCATGATATCCATGTGTCTACCCAGTGGAGGGAAGATATACCCATTTTAGCTTTGACACCACCAGGAAGGCACTCTTTCACCTACTGGGGGTGGAGCAGAACCCTCCTCACATTGGTAGCAGAATCAAAGGCAGTTGGTCCAATCATACCAGCATATTCTGACTAAAGAAGGAACAGGCAGAGCCACTATATAAGGCAAACAAGAAGAGCTGCCTTCCCACATAAAAAAAGAGAACCATACTGCAGATATTTCTTAGAGTATTTTAGGGGAAAGCAAAATCTCTTTAGTAATTTTTTTACAAGTTTAATGCTTCAAGTAAACTTTGAAAATAATGAGTAAAGATAAAGACATGTCTCTGGATTGTAATAGGATAAAATAATTTGGCATAGCACAAAATTGGAATGGGATGTACAGGAAAAAATCAGAATGTGGAAAAGGAGGAGGAAGAGGAAGAAGGAGGAGAAGGAGGGAGGAAGGAAGGAAAGAAGGAAGGAAGGAGAAGAAAAAGAATAAGGAGGAGGAGGAAAGAAGAAAGAAGAAGAGGAAGAGGAAAAAGGAGGAGGAGGAGGAAAGAAGAAAGAAGAAGAGGAAGAGGAAAAAGGAGGAGGAGGAGGAAAGAAGAAGAGAAAGGAGAAGATGATGAGGAAGAAGGAGGAGGAAAAAGAAAAGAAGCCCCGCCCCCCAAAAAAACCAGAGCAATCTAGACCAAGCACAGAGACAACTGACCTTGATCTATGATATGTGGAGGTATGGGGGTAAGAACTATCAGATAAGTACTGATGCTGCCTCACTGCATATTGCTTTAACAAAATTTATTCCTGTCTGGATGGGCTACAAGTTTTCCAGCTACAGCCCTATAATGGTCAAGTGATAACCTGGTTTTGCCAGTTGACACCTCCTTCCTGGGTTATTACTTAAAGCAACTCACGCCCCTGAATGTCACTTGTGTTAAAAAGTGAATGAGGAAAAACTGGTAGAAAACAAAAGTTGTTCTAAAGGGATGGGATTAGAGATTATGTTTTCCAAACATACTTTAATACGATGACATTTTATTTACTAAACAAATAAATACTAAATGTAAATGGTACCAAAAAACACAACATCTTCTAAAATATAACTTACAAAACATACTAAAATCTTTCTTTTGAATTTGGGAACTTTTGTAATTCAAACAGTAACATAATGCAAATTTATACACAAGAGATGGAGATGGAATGCCCTGTGCCTCATGAGAGGGTCTTAGAATTCAGTTGGCCTCATTGCCAGCTGGGGTTGGTTCTACTTCTCTTTTTAATAACATATTGCCTATTTTTCTACAAAGCAAATGAACAAGACATTTTTAAAATCTCATATTATTTATGAAAAAAATTACCTAAAATTTGCATATTCTTCTGCTTGCCGTTTCCATGGACAACTCTGTATATCTGTGATAATCTGAAGGTAGTCGTTCTCTGAATACCTAAAAATTAAATGTCAATATAATTAGAAAATAATGATCTCATATGTAAGTCTTCTTAGAAGATACTGTTATAATCTACTCCCTTTAGTCTATAAATATTTTTTGATATAAGGTGAGGCAGAAATAATTAAAATCATACTCATTTCAAAACACTGAGAAAATACAATTTGTAAATGATTATTATGTTGGTTTAGGGATTTATAATTTGCACATGTCATAAGCCAAGTGTAGTATTAAAAACCGTGACAACACACCAACTTGCATATGTATCTAATGGACATTTCACCTTGGCTTAAAATAATTGACAAATATATATTTATAGATGTTTTATAGATGTTTGCCATAAATATGTACTCAATAGATTTTTTCAGACTCTAAGTTCACATATTTACCTTGGAATGTATAGGCAAAATTTTCCTCCAAATAATTATCTTAAGTTATAATTTTGAACTGTACATTCAACACCCAGATTGGACTGTTGAGAGAGAAGTTTATTGACATAAAAATCTATAGGTAGAGTGGTATAGTTTGAGAAGCACTGAGCAGGATCCCAGTCCCTGGTAGATCTCTCCCTGTCTGAAATTCCACCATTAAGTATTAATTTCTAAAGCACAGAATATCCTTTAGTCTTTGCGTTCTCATTTGAAATGCAAGTATCCCTTTGAGTGAGAAAACTCTTAAATTTTATTTCAATTAGTAACTTATTCATTAGTTGCCAGGTATTAGTGATCAAAGGCTCTACAACAATGAGATAGAATATATGTTGAAGACATAATGGAGAAGAAAAATGAAACCAGACTAATATCTAGATTGACAGAACATGATGAGTACTGGGAACGGAAAATATTCACATATACATGAAAGACTTTTTCTTATTTTTCTAAGTCTTCTTGAAAGAAAATTGTTTAAAGTGACTATAATAATATTTGAGGTGGGCTTATATATGTAGACATAAATGCATGAACTATAGAACAAAGGCCAGAAAGAGGTGGGGGTGGGAAAGTGGAAATAGAAGTGATATAAATCATTTGACAACTGACACCAATAAGAAAAAGATGAACACTCTTCACCTAAAACAACGAGCAAAACCAAACAAAATCATTAAAATGTTATCATAAAAATAATCCAAAGGCAGGCAGAAAAAGAGGGAAGGGAACAAAGAACAGGTAAATAGAGAACAAACAGCAAGATGGCAGATTTAGGCCCAACTGTGTGACTAATCTCAACAAATATAAATGATCTAGGCATACCAATTAAAAGGCAAAAAATTTCAAACTGGGAGAAGAAAGAAGATGACGAAGAAGAAGAAGAGGAAGAAGGGAAGAAGAAGAGGAAAAGGAAGAAGAAGAAGAAGGAGGAGGAGGAGAAGAAGAAGGAGAAGAAGAGGGAGAAGAAGAATCAACCAATCCACATGTTGTCTACATGAAGCATATTTTGTATAAATAAGCAAATAAAAGTAAAAAGAATCATTAAAACAAAGTTAGAAGGGCTATATTCATAGTGTATTTCTGAGCAAGGAATATTACTACAAGAAAATAATATTCCCAAGCAAAGAATATTAGTGAAAAATGAGATTAGAGTAGAAATTGATAAAATCTTTAAAATTCAATGAGATGAAAAGCTTGTTCTTTGAAAACATCAATTAAATTGATAAAAACTCTTGCCACACTGATTAGAAAAAAGTCAGAGAAGATACAAATGACCAGTACCAGAAATGAGAGAGGATGGAGCATTAAGAATCCTTAAAACATTAAAAGTATAATAACTTTATGCCAAAATAGTTGGTGACTTAGGTGCAGTGGAGATATGTGTTGAAAGACACAAACTACCAAAGGCCACTCAAGAAGAAATTAATAACATAAATAGTCCTATAGCCATTAATAATATTGATTTTGTAATTAAAATTCTTCCTACAAAACACACACACACACACACACACACACACACACACGGCCCAAATGGCTTCACTGGAGAATTTTATCAAACATTTAAGGAATATTAATACCAATTGTATGCAAAGTCTTCTAGAAAATTGAAGGGAGTAAGATACTTCCCAACTCACTATATGAGAACAGGGTTACCCTGATACAAAAATAAGGAAAAGACATTGGGAAAAAAAAAAAAAAACCGGGCAGGCCAACATTTCTTATAAAGATAGATGCAAAAAATCCTCGACAAAATATTATTGAATTGAATCCAACAACATGAAGAAAGGATAAAGCACTGTGACCTACTGAGGGGTATATCAGAAATTTGGTTTATTTTAAAATCAATCAAAGCAGCTCACCATATTAACATAATTTTAAAAAGCACAAATAATAATCTCAGCACACAAAAGGATTTGACCTGATCCAACATTCAGCAATGACAAAAACCCTCACTGTAAAACAGAATTTCCACAATTTGATAAAGGACATTTGCAAAAACACCTATGGCTAGGATCATACTTAATGGTGAAAGACTGAATGATGAATGCTTTCCCCCTAAAATCAGGAAAAAGACATGATTGTCCACTTTCACCATCTCTATTCCACATTGTATTAGAGGTCCAACCAATGCAATAAAGAAGAAAAGGAAATAAAGCCATCCAGATTAAAAAGGAAATAGTAAAACTGTCTTTATTCAGAGATGACATAATCATCTAATGATTGTAGAAATGATGTATACATATTCCAACACTTGACAAATTATACACTTAAGTTGAAGTTCATTGAACATTACTCCTCAAAAAACTTTTAAATGTTTATTACTAAACTAAAAATTATATTTTCAATGATGCTATAACTAAGATAATAAGCATTACATATCAGCCATTTTTAAGGATCAAATATCTAAAATTTGAAATTTGATTTATTATGAACCTACAGTATATTTAAATTGATATACTTTTTTAAAGAGTTCCCTGGATAGCTAAGATGCTACTTCCTATGAGCGCTCAGACTGCTTTGACCAACGTTTCTATAATAGCCTCTCTCATGTTAAATTTAATTATGACTTTACATGTTGGTTTCTTGGTCTCGTCCTTCCCCTCAGGACTTTGAGGACTGACCTTTTCTAGCCCAGCACAATCCCTACGACATGCTGATTTGTTTTCATTAACCTAGGAAATGCATTTTATTTATTTATTTAGAGATGGAGTCTCGCTTTGTTGCCCAGGCTGGAGTGCAGTGGTGGGATCTCGGTTCACTGCAACCTCCGCCTCCCAGGTTCAAGCTATTCTCCTGCCTCAGCCTCCTGAGTAGCTGGGATTACAGGCGCGCGTCCCCATGTCCGGCTAATTTTTGTATTTTTAATAGAGACGAGGTTTCACCATGTTGGTCAGGCTGATCTCGAACTCCTGACCTTGTGATCTACCCACCTCGGCCTCCCAAAGTGCTGGGATTACAGGCCTGAGCCACCGTGCCTGGCCTGGAAATGCATGTTTAAATATAAATACAACATGTAATGAGGTCATAAACTATTCTGAATAAGCTCAAAGCTTGGATTATGATTTCCACTTAAAACTTCCCTCAGTACTGACTTACTTCCACTGACTTTTCCTATTTACAAATCTCCCCATTTAAAGCCCAGCCCTCCTTCAATGTATCTATCGCTTGAGAATTCTCACGTTAGAGCTCAATAGCTCATTAGTCAATTTTCTCAATCCAGTAATCCAATTCAGCTAGTTTCTTAGCATTAAAGGCATGCATATGTGTGTGTGTGTGTGTGTCCTGTTAAACTACTACCCCCTTTTTCCATGAGTAACGCATACATTAACTGTACCCATCTTCCTTTTTGAGCTCCCTCAATAATGATCAATGTAGAACTTGCCAATTAGTTCACATAGGAAATTGAGAAAGGGGTTTATATTGCTTGGTAGTAGTGATGTAACCTCTGCAACTTAAAGAATACAATAAATCCCTCCTTTTGGCTGACTCGTGGACTTGAGAGTAATCTCCTTTCTCAGCCCTCTTTGTTGGCATGGCATGGGTGTGAGGATCCTCTCGTCCTTTCCTCCATACTTTATCTTATTAATATGCTGGAGTTGGCTCATACAAGCTTATGGGAGCTGACCGCTAAGCTTTCAGGAATGTTGTGAACAGGTTATTAAACTATTGGTAGCTTGAAATCAGCCAAAGTGGAAGCATTTACACCACAGGAATTGGCAAATTTGACAAATCAGGTTTCTCTGCTTCCCCCCTCCACCCAAGCTGATAGTAAAACATGAATGAGCTCACCATAGCTCCTATACTTCTCATCCCAGCTGTGAGCCTGTTGGGCTGGCTCATACTCATTCATTATCCCCATAGTTTGAGCTTCATTGAGGCTTGCTGAAAAGGCCAGGTAAGACTTTGCTGCCACATCTAACTCATCAAATAAGACTGATCCAGAGAGGTTCTGGGTTATACAAAACTATCATATAACATCCAAACAGCAAGTACTACCTTAGCAAATTAAAGATTACTTTATTACTACCAAAATTTTGTGCAAATGCTCCTGATACTTTTATTTTAGCTTACTTGAAAAGCAGAGATTGTTTTGCAATCATTCTTGCCTGTATATTGAGCTTAGTCTGGAACATTAAAATTGCCATCCATGGACAACTGGGAAAAATGTGCATTGTAGAATATGGATAGTCTTTAAAATATTTTGTTTTAAACATCACTCCCCCTATATGTTGTAGCTGGTTCCAATTTAACCTAATATTGAAAGACGCCAATCATAATGTATCTAAGCTTACTGGTAGGTTAGCTGAATAAAATGGCCTTTGACTTTATGGTAACTGGTATGTAAAACCAAGTGAATACCTTATAGCAGACCCATCTATTATTAGATATACTTCTGGCCATTTTACAATTGGAAGACAGTACTCAAGGTACTTACTCCCTGAGATTAAGTGTTCAAAAAATCATTTTTATGTCCAATCTGGAAATGAAGCCTTATCCTCTGACGTTATAGAGGGGAAGACAAAAGAATAAGGGATATAAAAGGGAATTTTTTTCTAAGTGCTTGCCCTTTTTAGTGAAAGTTAAATCACCAACAGCTTTTTGAGAAAATTAAGATTGCCACAGGATCATCACAATTATAAAATGGAAGCATGGTTGTAACCAAAAATCATTTGAGGAGGAAAAACCACATGTGTGCTCCAGCTGTGGGCCAAGTTGGGGATAGGTGTATCTCTGCAACAGCTTCCTGTTAAGTAAAATGTTCTAAATCACATCATATTTTCTGCACACTTACATATATAATTGATTTTCAGTTTATAAAGCACAGATCTCACCCCAAAATCTTGGGAGGTAGCTCTGCTTCAGATATCATTTCTGTTTTTCTGGATGACAAAACTGAAAGTTCTGAGAAGATAAACAGCTTGCTCAATATTGCCTTGTATGTAGATGAGCTAAGAATTAAACTCATGTCTTTTGATTCACATTCTGGCTCTTACCAATATATCATATTGTATCTCATCTATTTTCATAATGAAATTGAAAATTAATCCCATCAGAAATGTTTTCTGTCCCAAGACATAAAATAAATCACACTAAATAATGCAGCAAGTTATGTTCAAAAGAATAATGTCTATTTAAATCATTATTAGTAATACTCGAACCACAAATTATAAATAACCTACTAAATGATAATAAATGTCATATTAAAATTTTAAACATTTTTCTAGAAACGTCTCTTTGAAGATGAAGACCCACATGCTGTGACTACTTTTATCTCAATTAAGATATAAATAGGGCTTTTCAAGCACTATAATTTATGGTTAATTAATAAAATGGTTAAATATTTACAGTAGTTCCCCCTTACATATGGTTTCATCCTCTTCAGTTCCAGCCACCCATGGTGAACCACAGTCCAAAAATATTAAATGGAACCTTCCAGAAATAAACAATTCATAAGTTTAAAATCGTGGACTGCTCTGAGTGAGCTATGAAATCTCACATCATCCTGCTCCATCCTGCCTGGGATGTAAATCATCCCTCCATTCAGCAGATCCACCCTGTCTGTGCCACCTGCCTGCTGACTTAGTTACTTAGTAGCCATCTCAGTTATGAAACTGAAAGAACATAGTATACATAGGGTTCTGCATTATCTGTGGATTCAGGCATCCAAAGAGGGTCTTGAAAAATATCCCATGCAGATAAGGGGAACTACTGTATTGGGTACTTACTAAGTACATAGAAGTTATCTTGGAGATACTGATTTACTAGTCTTATGTAAGCAGCTGAGATACCAATTTGGTTTCCTATGACATCTCTTCATGGTGAAAGCCAGCCATTTTTCATCCATTGAAATGGGTGGGAACAACACAGTAATATTAAGTCAGTAGTTTTCTGAGTGATGTTCTGTGTAGATCAAAAAGTCTTTTGCAGCATTTTCACCAAGCCCCTGAAGAGCTCAGCTCTGCTTGAAAAAATTCTGCAAACGAGTACAGTGCTACAAGACTTTCAGTCAATACAGTCAATCATTTCCACTGGGTAATACTCTTTAAAGGAATAGCTAATGAGTGTATGAAAGCCAAACTAGGAGAAGTGTGTGGCTGGTAGACTGAGTTGAGCTATGCAGTGGCACCGACATTTCATCCACTAAAGGTAGAAGAGTTCAATTTACATTGTTTTCAGCTATGCACGATGGTAACTTCTAATTAGAGTGTCATGGGTATTGTCAACCAGCATGGGAAAAAGGGATCTGCAACTTTTATTTTCTCCATATCTTTAAATGTCCCTAAGACAAGTTAAATAAATATTAGAACACAGCTTCAGAGATTAACTCCTGAAGATGCCAATGTACTTCTTCACAGCCCCAGTGAAATCTCCAAAGTGCTGTACTGTATTATTTGAAAAAGCCAGGCATCCTTTTCTTTTTTTTTTTCAAGGGATGCTTCCTTTGTTCTACAAAATTAACTTATTGGGTACTGGTATTAAGTATATACTTAAGATGTGCTAGGAAATGCTGTGAGCAGTGACTAACCTCAGCCAACCAAGAGGGAATGGTGTATCTGTTTACAAAGAGGTGGGATGTGACGTAGCAAAAGCTATAGATTGGTGGAGCACACTAGGGCCGTCAACAGGGTAGAGTAAGAGAGCTGTTACCACCCCCAAATCTACAGGTGACCCAGAAAGAGCTGTGATTGTAGGTGAAGACAAGGGTGGTAGCCTTTGGTAGAAGATGCAGTCATCCCTAATCCCAGCCCACAGAGAGGGATCCATGGGAGTAAATCCCCCAAACTGTCTCTCTTTCCACCTTCCATTCTCCTGCCAATGACTCCCATAGGCCAAACCTAACCAGAACCCAAAGGGTAAGAGAAAGAGGGTCCAACTAATGTAGTCCAAGGAAGTCAGCCTCAAGGACATGCAGCAAGAAGAAAAAGCACAGATGGTAGATCTGAATGATCAGCCAAGAATTTATAGCACAAACAGCAATTTATTTATGATGTTAGTTCTCAGCATTATTTTGGGGTAACTGAATTGTACTTCAATGGAAAATTTGATACAATGCCAAAATCAAGCAGTAGCTCACAGCAAAATACAAAACAGAATTTTCAGTATCTTGAAGCTTCGTGTATTAGTCCATTTTCATACTGCTATGAAGAAATACCCAAGACTGGGTAATTCATAAAGAAAAAGAGGTTTAATGAACTCACAGTTCACCATGGCTGGGGAGGCCTCACAAACATGGAGGAAGGCAAAGGAGGAGCAAGTGTACATCTTACATGGTGGCAGGCAAGAGAATATGTGCAGGGGAACTGCCCTTTATAAAACCATCAGATCTCTTGAGACCTATTTACTGTCATGAGAACAGCACGAGAAAACCCGCCCCCATGATTCAATTACCTCCCCCCAGGTCCTTCCCACAACACATGGAGATTATGGGAGCTGTAATTCAAGATGAGACTTGGGTGAGGACACAGCCAACCATATCACTTCTTCTTCACAAATATCTGCAACCTGCAAATATATCACCAGGATAAAGAGAATCAATAAACAAATAATGAGTCTGATATTTAAGAGTTTTGAATTTCCTCTTGTCATACAATCACTGTTAGATTTCTAAAGATGAAAAAAATGATGACCCATTTTTCAAGTTTCAAGGAAATCTCCAGATGTATAAGAGAATATTGAGAGATGAAAGTGACAATTTAGTGATCTTATACCATCAGTTTTTACAAGTAAGACCTATAAATTGCAGAGTCTGATAAAACCAATAAATTCACTATTTCACCATTTCTTGAAGTTACAACAGTAAATAAGCAAGCATGCATAAAACACCTGCTAAGATTCTTAAACCATATATGAGTGGCTATTAACCTTTTGCATCTTTAATTGTCCGAACACACATAAGCAGAGCTGACCCTTCCCTCCCTCCTGACTCTCCTTTGCACCACCCCTATATCTATTACGTATCCGTACAGCACTTATCCTTTTATTTTCATATATTTATTGAAAAAATATTTATTGCGCATTTGCTATGCATGAGACACTGTTCTATGCATCAGTAATAACCAACAAAACACAAAAATCTATGTTCTCCGCCAGGCGCAGTGGCTCACGCCTATAATCCCAGCACTTTGGGAGGCCAAGGCGAGTGGATCACCTGAGGTCAGGAGTTCGAGACCAGCCTGACTAACATGGACAAATCCTGTCTCTACAAAAAAAAAAAAAAAAAAAAAAAAAATTACAAAATTAGCCAGGCATGGTGGCACATGCCAGCTACTCGTGAGGCTGAGGCAGGAGAATTGCTTGAACCTGGGAGGCAGAGGTCACAGTGAGCTGAGATCGCACCATTGTACTCCAGCCTGGGCAACAAGAGTGAAGCTCTGTCTCAAAAAAAAAAAAAAAAAAAAAAAAATTCTATGTTCTCGTGAAGTTTATATTGTAGTAACGGTTGATAGCAAACTGAAATAATACATACATTAATAGCATGTTAAAGTGCTAGGTACTTCAATGTACTAAGTAATACAAAAACAAAAAAAAAGGAAAGAAGGACAATAGAAAAAGAAAGTACGAGGAATAGTGTTGCAGTTTGTGTAGAGTGGCCAAGGAAGCCCTCACTGAGAGGTGGTAATTGAGCAAATACTTGAAAAAAGTATTAAGTAATTAATAAAGTAATAATTAAGTAAGCTGTGCAAATATAAGGGGGTGGTGCAAGTGTGGGGAGACCATTCTGGGCAAAATGAAAGAAATTGTAAAGGCTGGAGGTAAAGGCAGGCATGGTGTGTTTGAGGGACACGAAATGATGTGGGTGGCTGTAATCCACCTCTGAGTCACTCATGAATCCAGTCATGAAGGTGGCAGGAGATGAGATCAGAAAGGTAATAAGAAGTCTGATGCTATTGGCCTTGCTATTCAAAGGGTGGACCTGAGACTAGTGGTACTGGCATCACATAGGATAGGCTTGTTAAGAATGCAGTATCTCAGGCCCCATCCCTGACTCACAAAATTAGAATCTATATTGAAACAAAATCCCACAGGTGATATGTAGTTAAAAGTTTTTAGTAGCTTGATTGCGACATAATTTGTATGCCACACAATTCACCCATCATATATGTACTGTTAAGTGGTTGTTATATTCACAGATACGTTCAAACATCATCGCAGTCAATTTTACAACATTTTAATCACCTCAAAAAAAAATCCTGTATCCTTTATTACCCCCTGCATCCCATAAGTTTTGGTATGCTATGTCTTCATTTTCATTCATCTTAAAGTATTTTCTGATTCTCCTTTTGATTTCATCTTGGATGCACTGGATATTTAGAAATGTGTTGTTTAATTCTCACCCATTTGTGAGTTTTCCAAATTGTTTTTCTGCTATGTATTTCAAATATCACTTCATTGTGATCAGATATTATGCTTTGTATTATTTCTATTCTTTTAAATGTACTGCATTTAAAAAAATGATCTAACACATGGTATATCCCGGAGAATGATTTGTGTGCTTTTGAGAAGATCATCATAGTCTGTTGTTACATGGAGTGCTTAAGTCTGGTGGGTTTATGGTGTTCTTCAGGGTCTTCTATTTCCATGATAATCTTTTTCTCATTGTTCTATCCACTATTGAAAGTGGATATTGAAGTTTTGAATTATTATTGTTGACTTGTTTCTCTCTTTGCTTCATGTATTTTGGTGCTGTTATTAGGTGCATACATGTTTATAATTATTATATATTGCTAATGGATGACCTTTATCATATAAAATCTCCTTCTTTATCTCTTAACTTTATTGTTTTAAAAGTCTATTCTGTCTGATATCAGTAGAGCCACTCCAGCTTTCTTGTGGTTGCTATCTGCACAATGTAACTTTTTCCATCCTTTTACTTTCAATCTATTGTATCTTTGAGTCTAAAGTGTGTCTTCTGTAGACAGCATAGAATTGGATCATGTTTTTAATTCAGTGTGACAATCACTGACTTTTTTTTTTTTTTTGGAGACGGAGTCTAGCTCTGTCGCTGCAGTGGCATGATCTCGGCTCACTGCAAGCTCCGCCTCCTGGGTTCACGCCATTCTTCTGCCTCAGCCTCCCCAGTAGCTGGGACTACAGGCGCCCGCCACCACACCTGGCTAATTTTTTTTTGTATTTTTAGTAGAGATGGGGTTTCACCATGTTAGCCAGGATGGTTTCGATCTCCTGACCTCGTGATCCGTCCGTCTCGGCCTCTCGAAGTGCTGGGATTGCAGGCGTGAGCCACCACGCCCTGCCTGACAATCTCTGACTTTTGATTGGGTGATTTAATCCATTCAAATTTAATGTTGTTATTTATATAGTTAGATTTATGTCTGCTATTTTACTTTTTGTTTGCTGTATGTTTCATATTCTTTTTTGTTTCTCTATTCTTCTTTTATAGCTTTGTTTTGACTTAGGTAAATATTTTCTAATGTAGCATCTTAACATCTTTTATAATTTTAACTATTTTCAATGTGGTTGCTCTAAGGTTTACCATACACAACTTATCAGAATCAGCTTCAAATTTATACTAGTTTAATTGTAGGGATACATAGGAATATTATTCCTACATAGCTCTATTCTTTTTTCTCCTTAATTATGATATTATTATTATAGGTATTAGGCCTATTAATGTTACAAACCCAACTATACCTTGTTATCATTATTACTTTATCATCTCTTGTCATTTCTATAGCACAGTATACCTTTGCTCCAACCCACTTCCTTGGTGCTGTTAATGGCAAACGTATGCATATATATTTGGGAAGCACTTGTAAGAAACTTGCAGGTCACTGGAAGAACTTTGTCCTTTATTTTGAGTGAAATTAAAAGACTTTGGAGCAGAGAAGTTATCTGTCTACTTACAGAAATAGGATCCCCCTACCTACTTTGTTGAAAATAGTCCTTAAGAGAGCAAGAGGTAGAAGTTGAGAGAAAATTAAGAGATGTTTGCCATAATCCAGCAGCAGGATGAAGGTGGCTTAAACCAAAGTAGGATTGGTGGGGTTAGGAAGAAATCAGCAGCTTCTGGATTTGATTTGAAGGTAGCCAATAAGATTTAATTATAGATGGGACATGGTATGGCTAAAAAGAGAGGAATCAAGGATAACTTCAAAGTTTCAGGCCCAAGGAACTGACAGGATAGACACGTCATTAACTGATACAGGGAAGAGTGCTAAAGTGCAAAGTTGAGAGGGAATTCCAGGACATCAGTGTGAGACAGACTAGGTTTGAGATCCCTTACAGGCATTCCAGGAAAGCTCTGACTGGGCAGAGATACATACAAATCTGCAAAGAGGTTCAGGTGGGAGATAGAAATTTGAGAATTGTCAGTATGGTATTTAAAAACATGAGACTAAATGAGGTCCCGGATGGATGAGGATGAAGAGAAATGAGGCCTGAGGATTGAATTCTGGGGCATCCAGTGTCAAAAATAAGGAGACGTGAGAAGGAATCTACAGTGAAGAATGAGAAGGGCCTGGGCACACTGGCTCATTCCTGTAATCTCAACACCTTGGAAGGGAGAGGTGGGAGGATGACCTGAGATCAGGAGTTTGACACCAGCCTAGCCAACATGGTGAAACCCCTTCTCGACTAAAAATACAAAAAGTTAGCAGGGCGTGGTGGTGCACGCCTATAATCCCAGTTACTTGGGAGGTTGCGACAGGAGAATCGCTTGAACCCAGGAGGCAGGGGTTGCAGTGAGCCAAGGTCATGCCATTGCACTCCAGCCTGGGTGACAGAGCAAGACTCCATTAAAAAAAAAAAAAAAAAAAAGAAAGAAAGTAAAAAATGAGAAGGGAAAGCCACTGTATGATAAATATTTGTTTAAATGTACAACTCTCTTAATATACTGTGGACTGCTAAGAAATAGAAATAATATATTTATTGTCATGCTCCTTATATACAAGAGTTCTAAATCCATTCTCAACCATGTATACTTTGAAAAAGCTCACCAGTGAGTCTAATGCACTCTCCAGGTCGAAAATAACTCTTCCTATGCTTGCCATGGTATTGGGCACTTAGTAGTTGCTTTGTATTTCTGAAATTAATATTTAATGTACGACTAGAACTTAAAAATGTCCAAAGCTTTCAGACATCAATTTTGAACAATGACAATAATTAGCCATCAGCCAGGATCTTACCAAGAGAAACCATACTGATACCCGAGCTTCAAGTAGGGTACTGCTACGTAAGATAATGCTATCTAAGTATATTTCTATCATGGACGCTTGTGTAAAATAAGTAACAAAAAGTGAGGAACGTGTGTTACTATTTTGGAGCTGGATCACTTTTGAATAGCTTCACATTATAAAATCAAAATCCAATGCTTTCCGTTTTCAAATTTCTGACTTAAAATTCTGCTGTCATTAAGAGTGGTGCCTCGGAGTAGTGGAAATAGAATAGTTAGAATTTTATCCAAATCCCAGCTCTGCTATTTGTAACTGGCTGATGTTCTGCAAGCCAACCTCAGAGCTCATTTGTCTCACTTGTAAAATTAAAATAGTAAAACCTACTCTGAAGAAATATCGCAAGAACTATACATACATTTAAATTACCTGGCAGAGAGTCGGCCCACAGAAATGGTAATTGTGACTATCACTATTGATTATTACAGTAATAATAATTATCGTCATTATGACAAAAATATAATAATGTAAAGGATTATGAACTGAGTAATGGGTTAGTTACCCATGACTATGTAACAAATTACTCCAAAACTTAGTGGCTTAAAATAACAGTAAACATTCATTATTGCACAGAACTCACAAAGTCTCTTATGACCTTTCTTGAAAGTCACACATTATTTCTGCAATATTCTATTGGTTTCATGGGGCAGCCCTCTTTAGGCTGACAGGGACTATAGAAGTGTATAAATACCAGGAAGAGAGGATCTTTAAGGCTGTGATCTGAGAGACCAAAATAGATGCCCTTTTATGAACTATGAAGGATCACAAGGTTAGGAAAACAAAAGTTACCTACAGATCGAGGGTACAGGGCATCCAGCATGGCAACTCCATAAATTCCCACGGCTGCAAGAAAAAACACACTCTTTCTAAACTCCCTAACAGGAGCTATCAGGCAATTTATCAGGCTGATTTATAACCCAGATAACCTCACCTCTGATTGGACGGAGGACAGCCTTACAAACATTGTTTTCTGACAAGCAACTCCAGCAGATCTTACACCAATTTCATCAGCTTATAGAGGCTGTGCACAAACTGTCTTTGTGTCCTATAGTTCACCTTTTGACATAAAGGAGCCAAATTCCACCTCATTTAAATCCTAAAACCCACCCCAAAGTGAATATGGGATGTATGTTACATATATAGCACATGCATTTGACTCCCCCTTATAAATATGCATAACTTTTCCCCAAAACCTGCTGAATATGTTTGACTTTACCATGTAATACAGACCCTGCGAGGCATAAAACCCAACCTGCTCTTCCTCTCTTTAAAGAGAGAGCACCTATGGTCCACGCTGGAGACTCTCTTCCCAGTTTGCAGACTGATACTGCCAATAAAGCCCTCCTTTCTACTATTTTAGCCGTTCGGATGGTCTTTTGGATGACAGTCACCTTGCAGCTCTGGCTACCACAAATAGCAAATAAACTATACCTTTAACATTGCCTGTTATATTTGAAGGCATTGAAAACAGCAACAGATTTGCTATCTTTCCCGGTGCCACTTTTAAAATTGAAAATAATTCCAATTATTTCTCAATGACTTTAAATAAATTTGATTATTTTTATTACCATGGTCTTCCCAAAAAGGCTTCATTCAAATGACTAGTTATTTGAGGAACTATGAGGAAGCCTTCTGATATGAATGCGTAATCAACATTGTAGTCTAGCAAGCCAGTGTTTCCATTTTTCTCTGAGAGAAAATTCAGTTTTGTTTCCAGTGACAAATACTTATAATAAAATAATACATGATTCCAATCTTCAGCATAGTAAAAATGATAGTAAGGAAATCTTACCAAGTGTTAATTAAGGAATTCAGATTAGGATTATGCTAGTTATCTTTTAACATCAACAACCACCACACACACACACACACACACACACACACACACACACACACACGGGAAAAGTAGTCTATTTCTCATCCTCCCACTAACAGATTGCGTGACTTTGAACAAATCATAATCCCATTTTTTTATCTTTAAACTGAGGGAGTTAAAAAAAAAAGTCATACATGCTCATAATTGAAACAAACAATATACGAATTCAAATAATTTAAGAGAGACTATGCTTTCAAACTCTTAGACTGTAGTTGTTTTTCATGTACTCTTTGAAGTACAGAATGATTGTTAAACCACCTTTTAATAAATTTGACATAACTTTTGTTTAAATGCAAACATTTTCAGAGGCTTCTATCATACTCTCAATATTATTACCTCTGCAGGGTGTGGTGGCTCATGCCTATGATTATAGGCCTCCCAGCACTTTGGGAGGCCAAGGCGGGTGGATCATCTGAGGTCAGGAGTTCGAGAGCAGCCTGGCCAACATGGTGAAACCCCATCTCTACTAAAAATACAAAAATTAGCCAGGCATGGTGGCGGGCACCAGCTTCTTGGGAGGCGGAGGTAGGAGAATCACTTGAAACTAGGAGGCAGAGGTTGCAGTGAGCGGAGATCGTACCACTGCACTCTAGCCTGGGTGACAGAATGAGGCTCTGTCTCAAAAATAAATAAATAAATAAATAAATAAATAAATAATAAATATATATATATATATTTAGCTCAACTGCCCTCCCAACTTGAAATTTTATATCAGCAAACACAGCCTTTGCTTTGATTACCAAGAAGAATTTCCCAAAATACTAAGAATGTAGTGTGTTGGTATGAATGGCTGTTTTGTGTGGATGTAATATTTTCTGATCTATAACTCTTCTTTTTTTCCAGTTTCATATATATATATTTTGAGACAGGGTCTCACTCTGTCACCCAGGCTGGAGTGCAGGGTTGTGATCATAGCTCACTGCAGCCTCAACCTCCTGGCCTCAAGCGATCCTCCAGCCTTAGCCTCCGAAAGCAATGGAATTACAGGTGTGAGCCACCATGCCCAGCTCTGGAACTCTTAAAAACTGATGAGAAAAGGCAAGTTAAAAGGTCAGAGGTGAGTAGAAAGACAAAAATGTACACATCGCTTTAAAAAGCAATCAAAGCACCATAGATTTAAAGTAGAATGGAAACAAGTCATACATCATTCTAGGCCAAGAAAATCTTGTCTATGACCAAAAATCTTTCTTCCTGATGGACAACTTGAAACTTAGGACTACTTGCATAGTTAGCAGGCTTTCAAGTGATATGCTCACACTTGGGCTTTTTGAAGTTTGATCGGCCATAATTTATGCCTTTTCTTTTCAAGCAGCAATCAGGTCATGTTGTTCTCTCCAGGATAATAGAGTGAAGAACACTTAGGGCAAGTCTTCAGTTCACTTTGCATTTCACCCTGCAAAACGGTGCCTCCCGAGTAGCAACTTTATGCCACCCCATGAGGAACATATCTTTCAGAAAATTCAATTGTTCTCAGTGATTTTAAGTGGTACAGCATGAAATAGCTCATCAAACATAGACACTCACCTATGGCGTAAGCCGCACTTAGTCTGTGCAAGGCAGATGTTCCAAATCTTGATTCTGAGCATTTGTATTTTACCCCAGAAAGCTATCTGAATACAAGTGAGCCCACCATGCATGCCCTAGCAATTGTGCAGAAAGTTACAGGGCAGTGGCTTACATGCTGTTCCTTAGAAGACATCTCAGTCCCTTACTAGAGGATCTATTTAAATGCTCCGGTGCTCAGAAGATGTACAAGATTGCTGTTGTTTAAAAAAAAGTGTTTCTTCCCACCTTTAAGAGACACCCTAGAGGCCTATAATCAATAGAATGATCAGAATGGTAGAGCTATTTAATACATACGTGGCAGAGACGCCTGGCGGATTACCACTGATTGGTGCTCCCTTTCTGTAGTACACACTTGATGCTACAAGCAGCTGCCCAGCCAGACACTCCATTCCCAAACACCCACCGCACATCAGTGCCACTTGCATTTTATTAGTCAAAACCCCCAACATGTCTCTAACATCTAGAAGGGTCAGTCCCAGATGGCAGAGAATGGGAGTGATGTGCGCCCCCTGCAGGCTGCGTGCAGTATCCGCTTTCTCTTTATTAGTAGCTACTCTTTGAGCAGCAAGATGGTTGAAAATGGCTTGATCTTAAGATGGAAGGAACCAGTATCCCTGAATCAACATCTGGGGGAAAAGCCACCCAGGAGCGTTGCCTGATAAAGAAGGAATATTTTACACTGTGCGAGAGAGAGTAAAATTTTGTGCTCAGACTTCCGAGAGCTTTTATTAGAGCAGTGTGTCTACTCTAACCAAATGGTAGAAACTGAACAAACCTAATGGTCCATTTTCTTGGGAGCCAGGACTCTTGGGGGAAATGAAAGAAAAGCATAAAAAAGAGAAGGCAAAACAACAGAAGCAGAAAAACCCAAGAAAAGGAAATAAGTTGATTTCCTGGGTCAGCACCTCTAAGTATCTGCTCTTAGAAAAATCATTTCATTTATCTGAGGCAATGAGGAATAAGATGGACAGCTTGGATATCCATAGAGACATTTTTCTAAAAATACAGGCAAGAAAGATTACAAGTAATAAGTTTGTCATACTAAAAAATGAGCGAACTAGCAGTGATAAGATGGCTATAAAGCATTTTTAATACAGTATAATATTTTATCTGGGAGATAACCTACTAGAAAGAATAGAGCTGCAGAAAGGCAGAGAAATATTCAAGGGAAGAGGATGGGGTAGAAAAAAAACAGAAAAGTACAAACTCAAAGTAAGAGAAAGAGTCAAAGAAGTTAAAATAGGTTTCAAAAAAGTATTGGTTTATAGATTTATAATTTTTTTTACATCTAGGAATTAGAGTTTGTCAAGCCTCTGAGCCCAAGCTAAGCCATCATATCCCCTGTGACCTGCAGGTATACATTGAGATGGCCTGAAGCAACTGAAGAACCACAAAAGAAGTGAAAATAGCCAATTCCTGCCTTTACTGATGACATTCCACCATCATGATTTGTTCCTGCCCCACCCTAATTAACCAGTTGACCTTGTGACATTCCTTCTCCTGGACAGTGAATCTCAGGAGCTCCCCACTGAGCACCTTATGACCTGCCCCTGCCTGCAAGAGAAAAAACCCCTTTAACTGTCATTTTCCACTACCTACCCAAATCCTATAAAACTGCCCCACCCCTCTCTCCCTTTGCTGACTCCCTTTTCGGACTTGGTCTGCCTCCACCCAGGTGATTAAAAAGCTTTATTGTTCACACAAAGCCTGTTTGGTGGTCTCTTCACATGGACACGCCTAACAGAGATGGTATAAAAATGCTTTGAAAACCTAAGAAAAACATTCATTTAATTATTTGTTTATTCAACAAAAATTAATTGAGCAACTGCTATGTGCTGCACCCTTGTGATTGGCACCAGGGGATAGGCATGTGAACAAGACATTGTCCCATTCATTTTGGAGCTCAAAATCTGAAACACAGAATAAAGAATTATGGCACAAAAGACCCTATCCCACTTGTTCTCCTAATGGCAACTGCCTAATTTTCATTTATTCAAAAAATATAGTTAAGACTAGGGGAGAAAAAGAGCACTTTTCCCTCCCACTATAACTCCATCTTTCTAAATCCTATTTTAGCAATGTGAAAGGGACAGATAGGCTGAAGAAAGAGAAAATTCTAAGTCTTTAACAGACCATGACAAAAATAGGGCCAGATAATTATTTCTAAGAAAACGAAATTACTTTTTTATCGCCATACACTGAATGGCTTTCCCCGTTGTGCTCCCTAAGTCTGTAATAGCACTGATTATGGAACACACAACCCCTGACCATAGACAATACAACCGAAAAATTAGTCTCCTGTGTGCAAAACAACACTTTTATAACAACAGGCAATTCATGCCTGCTCTCTCTAGACCTTTGCCAAACAGAATACCAGTGCAGGCTAATTATATAAGCCAGCTGAAAATTGCGTGTGTTTAATGGAAAGGCATCCCCTTAAAGAATAGCTGAGAAAAGGTCTTAGCACCAAAAACAAAACAACAGAGAAGGAGTGAGAAGGCAAACATGGGGGTATGGGCACCCGGCATTCTCATTAGCATACCGCAGTTAACCACTTTTGTTGATGCACATCAAAGAGTTGTCAAATTCTCTGCCTTGAAAAAGATGTCTTCCATGATTAGAGAATTTTCATCCTCGCTCACTCAGGTGTTTTGCAAAAACACACAGCTATTTGTCACTCTCAAGTTGAGAACTTTTGTCACTTTGGAAAGCAAAAACGGATAATGTCAGAGACCACTGAAGAGAGTCAAAGGCAAGTTTTACTCACTAATTTGCACATCTGTCAAGGAATATAGCCAGCTTTCCACAGGGTCCGATGGAGCAAAGGCCAATTTTCCCATTCTACTTTTCCTGCATCATTTTGTCTATGTCTGATGTGTGGAGGGTGCCACAAAAGGTTTGGAACTCAAGTCCCTCAGGAAAAGCTTCATAAAGATCCTCGTGTAACACCCGCATACCCAACAAACAACAAACAAAACAACAACTTCAACATCAAAACCGGCAAGTAGTGCATCTCCAATGCGTGAACTACTTTAAGTCCACCCCCAAAATCAGTGACTTTATCATGAAAGAGGAGAAGCATTTGCAAAAGTGTTCCAACCAGTCTATAGAAACCTAGAGTCCTGGCAGGAATGATGGCCTGCTCCAATGAGGGAATTTAAGAAGGGATTAAAGGAGGGACTTTTCAGCCAGGCACGGTGGCTCACACCTGTAATCCCAACACTTTGGGAGGTCAAGGCGGGCGGATCATGAGGTCAGGAGATCAAGACCATCCTGGCTAACATGGTGAAACCCCGTTACTACTAAAAATACAAAAAATTAGCTGGGCGTGGTGGCAGGCGCCTGTAGTCCCAGCTACTGGGGAGGCTGAGGCAGAAGAATCGCTTGAACCCGGGAGGCAGTGGTTGCAGTGAGCTGAGATCGCACCACTGCACTCCAGCCTGGGTGACAAGAGTGAGACTCTGTCTCAAAAAAAAAACAAAAACAAAAAAAACCGAAGGGACTTTTCCCAAAGATCTAGCTAGGCAACTTGTAGAGAAATACAGGTACAATAGTAGGGGACTATTAACAGCTTATCCCTAAGTTCAAGGGTCCAGTGGAGGGAATGGGAGAGAGGCAGAGAGAGGGAAAGCTAGAGTGAAAGTGAGAGAGAAAGAGTAAGAATGAGAAAAGGAGAGGGTGAGAGACCTAATAATCACCTTAGCGTTTGTTCCGTGATGCAGCACTTCTTTCAGTCAAGGATGTAGGCCAGGAGTGTCGGGTCACACCTGTGAAAGGAAAATATCTTGGGCCCCCAAAATCACTAAGGAAAACTCAAGCTGGGAACTGCTTAGGGCAAACCTGCTTCCCATTCTATTCAAAGTTATCCCTCTGCTCATTAAGATAGATGCATATCTGATTGCCTCCATTGGAAAGACTAATCAGAAACTCAAAAGAATGCAACCGTTTGTCTCTCACCTATCTGCGACCTGGAAGTTCCCTCCCTGCTTGGAGGCTTCCTGCCTTTGCTTCAAGCTGCCCCACCTTTCCAGACCGAATCAATGTACTTCTTATATTGATTGATGTCTCATGTCTCCCTAAAATGTATAAAACCAAGCTATGCCCGACCACCTTGGGCACGTGTCATCAGGATGTCCTGAGGCTGAGTAACAGGTGTGTCCTCAACCGTGGCAAAATAAAAACTTTCTAAATTAACTGAGATCTGTCTCTGATTTTCTGGGTTCACATTTTGGTAACCATGAAGGGATTCTGAGTGGAGATGCCCCTCACCTTTGACAAATCTCCTTTTGGTGCCTAGTACCAGCATGAGCTAACTTTATAGCTCAAACCAATAGGACAATTTGCTGAGGTCTGAGAGCACCCTCCAGAGAATCCCTGATCTCCCAAAATTTGGTTGAGATCTAAAGTTTATTTTTCTGTACAACTCCTTTTTGGGGGGACTTTACTTGCTTCCAACAGGAAGGCAAGTTTTCCTGCTTCCATGTCGATGGAAGACAGGTACCTCCTTTATGGACCTTGAGCTCACTTCCAACAGGGAAGATAAGTTTTGTTTTGTTTGTTTTTTTCCTGCTTCTAGCATGGTAGAGAGCAGTCTACAGCTTGAGACCCATGACTAAGTAAGAAACTGGTTTGGGATTCCATCTTGCCAATTATTTTAAACAACAAAAGTTAGTATTTAACAACCAGCTGGTGTTAATGTCTGCTTACACTTACAGCACTCAGAAATCATATAATTTGTGTGATCATTGTTAGTTTTGCTTAATGGTTTTGTTTTTTCTTTCTGTCTTGGTCAAATCTGAAGGGGAACCCTAAATTATGGGGAACAGGGTCTCTGAAGTGGGAGGAAAATGGCCATCAAAAGGAAAAAAAAGATTTTTAATTTTAACTACAAAAGGGGCTTTATTTACATAACAAGGCCACCTTTTTGCCAGCCAGACCAAACTGAAAGAGCAATGGCTGTACTTCTGAAATAGCAGCATTTTGTCCTAGCTGAAATATGGTAATAAGATTTAAAAAACAAATTTGTGTAAGGAGCTCCATGATTAAAAGTCAGCTTAATGAAAAGGCTAACAGCCAAGATGTGTGTGTGTATGTGTTCATGTTTGTGTGTATGTGTTCATGTTTGTGTGTATGTGTACATGTTTGTGTGAATGTATGTGTACGTTTGTGTGTTTGTATGTGTACGTTTGTGTGTTTGTGTGTATGTGTTTGTATGTGTACACGTTTGTGTGTATGCATATGTGTATATGTGTGTTTGTGCGTGTGTGTGTGTGTTTGTGTGTATGTGTACGTGTTTGTATTTGAAAGGCCTTCATGTTTTGAGGGGTTTTTTTTGTTTTTCTCTCCTAAGATTTTGTCTTTTTTTGAGCAAAAGTTTTTTTTTTTCTTTATCTTCTCAGTTGAACGAGTTCTGTCGTCACCTGATTGTTTGACTAACATAGTTATTGAAACAGAGTTTACTCGGGTTTTTAAGGAAGAGTGTAGTTTAATTTGACTCAAATAAAAATGAAAGTGTCTCCCTCTAGTACCACCAGACTTATTCTCTCTATACCTTATGATGTAAATTTTGCTATTTGATTTTCATCTGAGTTGTTTCCTTTAATGTGCAAACTTAAGGCTATTTAGCTGACAACTACCTAGGGTTGTAAAACACATTATCAAGAATCTGAAAGTCTATAATAGGAAAAAGGGGGTGGGGTTATAAATCTATAAAATGTACCTCCATCGGCATGCCTAATACGTCTTTATATGTTTTTAGGTGTTGTGTACACAATGTTTCACTAGTAAAAATACACAAAAGAGCTCTAATTAATTGGCTTTAAAAAAAAGTGCTTAAATCAAATACCAAAAAAGACTAGTCACATGCTTTTAAAGGTTATATAACTTAAGTAAAATCTTTAATAAATAAGCTGGCTTTAAAATTATTGGTAAAGTAATATTATAAGTGTCTTAAGAATTGCCAGCACACATTTTTGTTTGCATTTATTAATCAAGCAGTTTCATACTTATCCTTGCCAAATACTATGAGGTGTCAAAATTTGGCATGGGTTACAAAACTGTAAACCCAGCCCCAAACAGAATGATCTTTGCTTGTGTAATTTTTAATAAGTGAGACATTGATATGCGTTTAATGAAAATAGCTGTATCTCAAATTTAGTAAGATTATCATAACTTCTAATCCTGTGGCTTTAGGCAGTCTAGTCCACAGACAATAAAGAGGTTTGTTTTGGGAAAGAACTGTTATCGTCTTTGTTTCAAAGCTAAACTATAAACTAAGTTTTTCCCAAAATTAGCTTGGCCTGTGTTCAGGAATGAACAAGGACAGCTTGAAGGTTAACAGCAAGATGGAGTCAAGTCAAAATTTTTTCACGGTCTCAGTTATAATTTTGCAATGGTGGTTTCATAACTTTAAATCATGACTATCACAGTTTTCATAAATAATCTAGGTAAACTATTAAAATAAATAATTACGTAAATGTAATGGGATAAATACTTGTAGACAAACTGGTCATAATTTAGAATATAAAGTTGTATTAAATTAAATAATAGATATTTCATATTTGGGAATTTTCCAATAAAAGAAGTTTCAGTGATAATTTTTTTTTTAATTAAGTTTATTACATCCATGTATCTTCTTGCTCTTATCACCCAGGCTGGAATGCATTGGTACAATTTTGGCTCACTGCAACTTCCTCCTCCCAGGTTCAAGCAGTTCTCCTGCCTCGGCCTCCAGAGTAGCTGGGACTACAGGTCTCCGCCACCATTTCTGGCTAATTTTTGTATTTTTAGTGGAGACAGGGTTTCACCATGTTGGCCAGGCTGGTTTTAAACTCCTGACCTCAGGTGATCTGCCGGCCTCAGCCTCCCAAAGTGCTGGGATTACAGGCGTGAGCCACCGCACCTGGCCCCTGTATATGCTTTTAAAGTCCTTGTTAACATTGAGTTACAGGGCTTTAACTCCTGGGTTTGAAAAGGACATCAAGTCCTGCTAAATCTTAAACACTGATAGCAATTAAAGCCTTATCTTCAGGCCCCGTACAAGATGCCAATCAAAATAAACTGCATGCCTGAGATACAGGGCAAGAAATTAAAGCTATTCAACACCTCAAGGCCCAGGGACTACTGTGAAAGAGGTGGGCCCATAAGATCGTAAGGGCCGATTTTGAAAGTTAAAATAAGTTTAGTTTCTCTATAAATTAACCATTAGTGTCAAAGGCACACTGATGCAAAACTAGTATACGGATCCCTGTGTCAGATTAACAAGATTTTCTAGAAGCATTAACCAACTCCTTAATAAAGGTTATAAAGGTTATAAAAGGCTTGTGGAAGTTATATTTTATAATGAAGATTAAATTTTATAGACTGTTTACAAAATTTTGAACAAATGTAATTGGCTTCATGCTGTTTTTATTAGGGCTTCTTGTTTAGAAAATTAAGTCTCTTCTCACAAAGAATGAAGGTTTTCACTTTTTTTTTTTAATACTTGAATTATCACTTTGGTTAAATAAATGACTTCACAATGACCTGTAATCCTATTTTGTAATATCAAGTGTTTTAAACCTTTGATATATGACAAACTTTCTAAAATCAAATTATCAATTATGTCTTTTTCTAATCTAATTAATCCTTTAAGACATTAGGTTCCCTAAAGTCCAAAAAATGACATAATTTGGCTTATTTGGTATAAAAATTATACAGGAAGCATTGTCAAATATAAAGTGGTATTTAGTTTTCTTAGGGCTGTATTTGTATAAATATGTTATTGATATGTGTTCCAAAATTATGGGAAACTCCTGTAATTCTGATATACCTTAGTGTACCTTATCAGTAATAATCATAATTGTTATAATCATTGTGTGCCACAGAGATAAATTTTCTTGTCAATTGTGTTTTTTGACTATGGCTGTCTTAAAACTTCTTTTTCATCCATGGACAATTGTTGTCTTGTTTTGTTCCTCTTTAGAGGGTGGTTTTATAATCAGCTATAAAACTTCAACAGGTGCTTTTAAATGCACGTTTCTAATAACTTTGTAGATTGTGATATCAGAATGCAGGAAAAACTTTCAGAACTCATGGAGAGCTAAAATATTCATGAGTATCAAGCAAAACACAGGAATTAACTGCATGGACTAAACCAATCCTTTTGACTTTTTGCTTAAAATGTTTACTGATCCTTTGTTTTGTTTTTCAGACTCTTAAAACATTTCTTTTGAGCTACTGACAGCTTGTAACAATTTAGTATACTCCCATGAACAAAATTTGGAGCATATTTGTTTCTAACTGATTTCTCTGGAATTTGGAAACTATTTGTGTATATTCTTAACTTATGGCAATACAGTTATTTGCGTAAGTGCAATAGGAATCTGTTTTCATTTGTGACAGGACACAATTGGAGAAACTGGTTATTTTACCAAGGCTTTGACTGGAATGATGTGCTTTCCTTTAAAGAATCAAACTTGACTTACGGAGCCAATAAAGCCCTTGGAAAAACTGGCCTCAAATTTTGTGTACACAGTCCCTGTACAGGGTTTCTGACCTGTGGTAAAAACAGAATGTCACTTTCTGACAGGCACAGTACCCCCAGGATAAACTTGGAACCTCGAGAGGAAATTCACGAAACTCGTAAGTATTTGATGGCACAAATCCATGACTGGGCTTGGCTTTTAAAAAGTCTTATCTGAGATTGCTTCTATGGAACAGAGTTCCATCAAAGCCAATTTAAAAAACTATGTAAAAAATAATTATTCATGCTGCACTATATACAAATAATTAGGCCAAGTATAATAAGCAAACCAGTGCTACCATGATTTGTCTTTAATAACATGGGAAACTGGAGAGAGAAAAAAATTGTGTTTCAAAACGATAGTACACGTGTTAAATTCTAGTCTTGCCTAATGTTTTCTTTTCCATTTTTATTATTTTCTACAGTTTGGACCAAATTCTAATTTTTCTTGGCTGCAAGTCTTCAAAATGATGTTTTCATTTTTTTTTCCAGTTTTCCTAATTTGGAGTCACTAAAATCTAAGCTGTGCTTTCTTCAAACCATGAGAACTGAAGCCAGACAATTTAAACTTAAGAAGAAAATAACAGCAACCAATTTACATACATAAGCTACTTTCATACCTACTTACTAATGTATGGACTTCCGAGTAATTGGCCTATATCAATTTTTCCAGGATTGTTCTTTTGTTTGTAGCTTTTTCCCCCTTCCTCCCCCTAATTTTCTTTTCACAGGACAGGAGACTTCACAACCTGCTAAAATGAACTTTCGGGACCTACCCATCTAGGAGTAAACCATCCTAGCAATGAAAGATCAGATGAAATCTGAAACCAGAGAGTCTGTTTTGTTTTTTGTTTGTTTGTTTGTTTTTTTGTAAAATCATTTCTCCAAAAGATTTTAAAAAAGAAAAAGGGTGAAATGTGAAAGGAAAATATCTTGGGCCTCCAAAATCACTAAGGGAAACTCCAGCTGGAAACTGCTCAGGGCAAACCTGCCTCCCATTCTATTCCAAGTTATCCCTCCCCTCACTAAGATAGATGCGTATCTGATGGCCTTCCTTCGAAAAGCTCATCAGAAACTCAAAAGAATGCAACCATTTGTGTCTCACCTATTTGTGACCTGGAAGTTCCCCCCACACTTCGAGTCTTCCTGCCTTTGCTTCAAGTTGTCACCCCCTTTCCAGACTAAACCAATTACTTCTTACATATAATGATTGATGTTGTCACGGTGTCTGTGTGAAGAGACCACCAAACAGGCTTTGTGTGAGCAATAAAGCTTTTTAATCGCCTGGGTGCAGGCGGAGTGAGTCGGAAAAAGGAGTCAGCAAAGGGAGATAGGGGTGGGGGCAGTTTTATAGGATTTAGGTAGGTAGTGGAAAATGACAGTTAAAGGGGGTTATTCTCTTGCAGGTGGGGGCAGGGGTCACAAGGTGCTTGGTGGGGAGAGCTGGAGACATATTGTCCAGGAGAAGGAATGTCACAAGGTAATGTCATCAGTAAAGGTAGGAACTGGCTATTTTCACTTCTTTTTGTGGTTCTTCAGTTGCCTCAGGCCATCTGGATGTATAAGTGCAGGCTTGGGCTCAGAAGCCTGACAGAGGTCTCATACCTCCCTAAAATGTATAAAACCAGGCTGTGCCCCAGCTACTTAGGGGAAATGTTGTCAGGACTTCCTGAGGCTGTGTCACGGGCGCATTCTCAACCTTGGCAAAATAAACTTTCTAAATTAACTGAGACCTGTCTCAGATTTTCTGGGTTCAAGTGCCTGTAAACACAACACTTTGGGAGGCCAAGGCAGGAGGATCACTTGCACCCAGGGTTTTGAGACCAACCTGGGCAACAAAGAAAGACCCCATCTCTACAAAAAATAGAAATTAGCCAGCCATGGTGGCACGCACCTGTCTTCCTGGCTATTCAGGAAGCTGAGGCAGGAGGATCGCTTGAATACAGCAGGTCAAGGCTGCAGTGAGCTGTGTTCGTGCCACTGCACTCCAGTCTCGGCGACGGAGTGAGACTGTCACACACACACACACACACACACACATACACACAGGCCGGGCGCGGTGGCTCGCACCTGTAATCCCAGCACTTTGGGAGGCTGAGTCGGGCAGATCACAAGGTCAGGAGTTCGATCACAAGGTCAGGAGCTCGATCACAAGGTCAGGAGCTCGATCACAAGGTCAGGAGCCTGGCCAATATGGTGAAACCCTGCCTCTACTAATAACACAAAAATTAGCCGGGCGTGGTGGCACGCGCCTGTAGTCCCAGCTACTGGGGAGACTGAGGCAGGAGAATCACTTGAACCCGGGAGGTGGAGGTTGCAGTGAGTCGACATCGCACCACTGCACTCCAGCCTGGGTGACGGTGAGACTGTCTCCAAGAAAAAAGAAAGAAAAGCATGTAGTTAACCTGCAACGACATCAAACACAGAGTTTCTTCTCCTTCCTCCTGCAAGGCTCTTGTATTGGTTCGAACCCTGAGAGAACGCCAACAAACAACACAAGGCAGTGTGGAGCAACAGGCAGTTTTAATGAATGCCTGAAGGCAGACCTTCAGGCCATTTCAGGCCGAGGCCTAAAATGGCATCAGCCCCAAATGAGGACGGGCAGGGGTTTTACAGTCTCCCGTAAACAGGAAGTGTTTCAGTCTGTGTATCTACTGCTACGTGATACCCGGTAGGCCTCTCTCTGGGTCTTCAGAACAGCTCTCTCCCCGCTTCTGCTATCTTGCTGACGCACGCTGATGACGTAAGCCGCCTTGCGCCTTGGGACTGGGCCTGAGAAGGGAGGAGTTATTCAGGCCTCCGCCAGCTTCTAGGCCCTGGGGATGGTCTTTCACCTCCCTCTTTCTGATCTCTTTTTCATGCTCCTCCTTGCTCCAAAGAAAAGCCGGATGGCAAAAGAGCCCAGAACCTATTGGTGAGTTCCACGTACGTCAGCCTCCCTGGGAAAAGTCAGGCAGAGATGAAACTGGAGGGTGAAAAGCTATGAGGGTGAAAGTGGATTGAGTGGGCCCAGTGGAAGACGCACAGCACCGTGGATTCCCCTTGCAAGCTTAAGGCCCGCTAGTTGGAATTTAAGGAAAAGAAAACAATAATTTTTTTTTTTTTTTGAGACGGAGTTTCGCTCTCGTCACCCGGGCTGGAGTGCAGTGGCGTGATCTTGGCTCACCACAACCTCTGCCTCCCGGGTTCAAGAGATTCTCCAGCCTCAGTCTCCCGAGTAGCTGGGATTACAGGCATGCGCCACCACACCCAGCTCATTTTGTGTTTTTAGTCGGGGCGGTGGGGCGGGGGGGGGGGGGTTCTCCATGTTGGTCTGGCTGGTCTCGAACTCCCCACCTCGGGTGATCTGCCCGCCTCAGCCTCCCAAAGTGCTAGGATTACAGGTGTGAGCCACCGCGCCGGGCCCAGAAAACTAGGATTTTCATAGGGCTATCCTTCTGTGAGAAACGGAGCTAACATACAGGACTGGACTGCTGTCACATCGATTAACCCAAATCAGAGATCTTAGCCAGTATCAAGCTTTCCTAATAATTTCAAAGATCTGCAGAGAAATGAGGGGAAATGGGGCTAGAGGTGAAGTGAAAAAGTTAAGAGATTTCTGCTGAACTCTAGGAGAGAGATTGCAACTCCTTTTACTTGTCAGGATAGAATAGACTATGATATGATAACAACGCCAAGCTCTCAATTGCTTTACAAAACAAAGGTTTGTTTCTTGCCCATGAAATGCCCACTGTATATCTGGAGGGCCGTCTAGGACAGCTGTGCTGTGTGTGGTTTAAGGCTTTCAATGGTTCATTTTCTGTGTCGACCTGACTGGGCTCAGGCATGCCCAGATAGCTGGTAAAACATAATTTCTGGTTATGTCAACAGACTCAGACAAAGCAGAGACAGGCTTGGGACATCAAGGGTGGACACCCCAGTCCTGTCTTCCCACACTGCACATGGCCCAGGATCGTAGGTGAGGTTTCTAGGTGAGGTCAGTGGGCTTCCTCACACAGCAGGAAACTTTAAATTGTTAAACGGTTTCTCTTTTAGACCCAGGGAGTTCCACAGCCTTTGAGCCATTCTCCAGGCAGTCCTGCCTCCTGGATCCTGGATTCCATTAACTTTAAGCAGGACCTCAGCCAGAGATCAGCCTGCTAGGGACACTCAATGGATGTGTCTCTTCCTCTAAGCAAATATCGTTAGTCTATTTACCCAGAGGCTCAGTGGAGAAACAGTTAAACCGGTTTACCTACCTTGGTTTCTTTATCCCCAGATCAAACTCCAACACCCCCAGGGAAGGGAAGGAATGGATTAGAGGCAGCTGTATAAACACTATTTCTAACATTAAAAGAAGCAGTGTGTGTGTGAGAGAGAGAGAAAGAGAATTATTATTAGGAAGAGAAAGTGAAAAACATGAAGGCAGGAAGACCGCTCACTGGGTCTTCCTTGTATAGGATTGGCATGTGGAAATCAGCAATACCTCTTACTGAAACCATCTTTGAAAATTATAACTGAGGAAATTATGACATGAAAGAAATCAGACCTAACTGACTACATCTTGCTTCTAATCTTTAAGCTGTCCTTGTTTATTCCTGGGTGTAGGCCGAGCTAACTTTGAGAAGGAATTCAGTTCGTGGTTTGAGTCTGAAACAAAATTGATAATAGCGCTTTCCTGAAAGGACCCCCTTCTGCCAGGGGACCAGTCTGCCTTTGCAGGACTAACAAATTAGCTACAAGATTAGAAATTACAGTTTAGGGGTCATGCAGACTCTGGCTCCAAGAGTCTGAACCTCCCCATGTTGCTCCTGGGGATACCATCACTATTGTAAAACCTAAGATCAGTACTTGAGATATTTTTCAGACCCTAGACTGGATGGATCAGCTGACACCCCCCAGACTCATAATCTGGCTCAGCCAGTTCTGCCATCCCACCCAGGAACAGAAGATGGCAAGAAAAACTCATTTCAACTCCCTGATTCGCTCCAGCCTGACCATCAGCACTCCCCACTGCCCAAGCGCCTACCCTCCAAATTATCTCTAAAAACTCTGATCCCCGATCCAACGCTCAGGGAGACTGATTTGAGTAATAAAACTCCGGTCTCCCACACAGCCAGCTCTGCGTGAATTACTCTTTCTCCATTGCAATTCACCTGTCTTGATAAATCGGTTCTGTCTAGGCAGTGGGCAAGGTGAAACCACTGGGCGTTTACATTATCCTGAACCATCTTCAAATGTTGTCAGGCAAGCATAAAGCAAGATGAAACTCGGGTTATTTCCTTTCAGGGAGGTTACAGGCATAACCTCGTGTCCCTGCCCAACACACACACATCCTTTGTCCAGCACCATTGGACTGGGCACCTTCTAGGAACAATCAGAGTCTCAGGCCACCAGTGCCTCTTCCATGTAGATGAGGCATGGAGCACTTGGATTTCCTTTTTTTGAAGGAGATGATGTAGCAAACCCTCTAAAATATAGGATTGTAAGCAGCGCAGGGGAAGCTGAGGGAGTGTCACAGCTGAGACTGGGGGGTAAATCGTTCACCTGGCTGAAATTGTAAGCACAATTTTGTACAAGTGTGTATTTTTCTAGGATAGCATTCAGAATACATATCATGTTCTCAAAAGGATTGGGGGCCTATAAAAGTTTAGCCAGTATAACTACATGGTGTTTTGAGGAGTTTTTTGGTTGATTTTAGAGACAGGATTTCGGTCTGTCACCCAGGCTGGACGAAGTGGTGCAGTCATAGCTCACTGCAGCCTTGAACTCCTGGGCTCAAGCAATTCTCCTTCCTCAACCTCCTGAGTAGCTGAAACTACAGACCTGAGCCACCACATTCAGCTAATTTTAAAAATTAGTTTTAGAGTCAGGGTCTTGCTCTGTCCCCTGGGCTGGAGTGCAAGTGGTGCCATCATAGCTCACTGCAACCTTGAATTCCTGGGTTCAAACGATCCTCCTGGCTCCGCCTCTTGAGTAGCTGGGATTACAGGCACATGCCACCCAATTTTAATTATTTTTTGTAGAGATGAGGGTTTTGCTATGTTGCTAAGCCTGGTCTGAAACTCCTGGCCTCAAGCAATCCTCTAGCCTCTGCCTCCCCAAGCACTGGGATTACAGCCATGAGCCACCGCACCTGGCCCCTACATGGTATTTTTAACAAATGCGGATCCAGGGACAAATAAGTTGAGTCCCACTGCCAGGGTCTGACCCTGGTACACATTGTTTGGCCCCAGGTCCATCATGCTCATTAACAGGAGCTTCAGAGCCCAATGGTAAGCCTGAGAGTGAACAGTCTCATATTCCAAATGACTTCAGAGACACTGTCAGACATTCTGAAAATAAAACCCTTGTTGTAAAAGGAAATTAAATGTGAAGAGTAGAACTTACCCTTTCGTTTTGTTAGAGAAAGACTCAATGCCATATTGCAGATTTTTGCATTTCTCCGTCAGTTGGAGCGACTTCTCATTCAGATATGTGCTGTTTCATGAAAGAGATTTTTAAAAAGATTGATTTAAAATGAGAGCTTATAAGATATTGTTAACAAAAATCAGATTTAATTGATAAAGTGTGTCCAAATGAAGTCTCATCTTTACTCCATTATTGGATTTCTCCATGGAAAAGGAAATTAATATTTTCACCTCTGATGGGTCTAAATGAAAAAAAAAACAAAAAACTTACGCTGTAAAGTCAAACATAAGAGAACTCTATTTTGAAGACCTTTTTTTTTTTTTTGAGATGGAGTTTCACTCTTGTTGCCCAGGCTGGCGTGCAATGGCACAATCTCAGCTCACTGCAACCTCCACCTCCCTGGTTCAAGCGATTCTCCTGCCTCAGCCTCCCGAGTAGCTAGGATTATAGGCGCCTGCCATCACGCCCAGCTAATTTTGTATTTTTAGTAGAGACGGGGTTTCTCCATGTTGGTCCGGCTGGTCTGGAACTCTCGACCTTAGATGATCCATCCGCATCAGCCTCCCAAAGTGCTGGGATTACAGGCGTGAGCCATCGTGCCTGGCCTTTGAGGACTTTATACTGGCAGGTTTTCATATTCTGAGGTTAGTATTTACAATGAACAAGTTATTTAATAGTTTTAATCACTGTGTGTTTATTTTATTTTTATTTATTTATTTATTTATTTTTTAGATGGAGTGTTGCTCTGTCGCCCAGGCTGGAGTGCAGTGGTGCATCTCGACTCACTGCAAGCTCCGCCTCCCGGGTTCACGCCATTCTCCTGCCTCAGCCTCCCGAGTGGTGGGACTACAGGCGCCTGCCACCATGCCCGGCTAATTTTTTGTATTTTTTTAGTAGAGACGGGGTTTCAGCATGTTAGCCAGGATGGTCTCGATCTCCTGACCTCGTGATCCGCCTGCCTGGGCCTCCCAAAGTGCTGGGATTACAGGCGTGAGCCACCGCTCCCAGTCGCGTTTATTTTTAAAGGATGTTTTCTTCGGTAGAAAATATGCAGACATAGGAGATCATTAACTCTCTCCATAATGAACACAAATCTGGCCTTTGATTATTCTGATAGCTGCAATATACTGGCCTGGTGCTATTTGTTTTATAAACTTTGAAAATTGGAGGTGGAACAAAAGAAAAAAAATCTGAAGTCAGGTTAAGGACATGGGTTACAAAGTTAGCCTGCCTAATGAGCCTCAGGGACATAGGCATGTTATTTAACCCACTCCAGGCATAGACTTCCATATTTCTAAATCAAGGATAATTGTGCTTACCTCATAGTGTTATTGCCATGATATATATATGCTAAGGAAACAATGTAAACCACTTGTAACATGCGTCACATATATTAAGTGCTCAAAAAAAAATCAACTATCTCTTTCCTTAGACTTAAAAAATATATATGCAACTCTAACTTGCTGTTAATGCATTTATTTCATCATCCTGAAGGTATTCGTTGATAGCCTAATATGGGTTGGGCCCACACACAGGTTATTTAGGACAGAGAGGAAGAGAAAATAGACATGGTCTTATTCCCTAATGGAGCTTGCAGTCTGAATAAGGAGAAAGGTATCAATCAACAAATAACCAAACAAATGAATATAGAATTATGAACCGTGATTGGTTATGGTTGAACCAGAGTAGGTGGCTCAGAAGAGTAGGTCTCTACTCACACTGAGGGGTCAGAGGAGGCCTCCAAGTGAGTGTCATTTAGATGGAGACACCCAAGGATGATCCAAACAAAGTGGGTAGTGCGTTCAAGGCAGAGGAAAAAGTGTGTGCAGGCCAGGCCCAGTGGCTCACACCTCTAGTCCCAGCACTTTGGGGAGCTGAGGCAGGTAAATCACTTGAGCCCAGGAGTCCAAGGCCTCAGTGACCATGATCGGGCCACTGCACTCCAGCCTGGGTGACAGAGTAAGACTCTGTCTCAAAAAAATAAATGTGCAATGGTTCCAAAATGGGGAGCAGCCTGGATTATCTGAGGAAATAAAAAGATAATAGGATTCAAGGTTGAAGAGCCATGGGGTGATTGCAGAGAAATGAGGAGAAATGGGGCAAGAGAGGAAGTGAAAAAGTTAGGAGGTTTCTGCAGGACTCTAGGAGAGAGCTGATGGCAACTCCTTTTGCTTGTCAGGATAGAATAGACTATGATGTGATAACAACGTCAAGCTCTCAGTTGCTTTACAAAACAAAGGTTTGTTTCTTGCCGATGAAATGCCCACTGTATGTCTGGAGGCCCGTCTAGGGCAGCTGTGCTCCATGTGGTTTAGGGCTTGTGATGGTTCATTTTCTGTGTCAACTTGATTGGGCAAAGGGGTGCCCAGATAACTGGTAAAACATGATTTCTGGGTGTGATGTGAAGGTATTTCTGGAACAGATGAGTATTTGAATCAACAGACTGAGTAAAGGCTGCCCTCACCAGTGTGGGTGGGCAGCATCCAATCTGCTGAGCACTTGGATAGAACAAAAAAGTGGAGGAAGGGTGAGTTCACTCTCTCTTCTTGAGCTGGGACGTCGTTTTCTCCTGCCCTTGGACATCGGTGCTCCTGGTTCTAGGACCTTCATATTCAGACTGGGACTTACACTGTTGGCCCCATGGTTTCCATCAAAGTCTCCTCAGCCTTTGGGCTTAGACTGAGCTACGCCACTGGCTTTCCTGGGGCTCCAGCTTGGAGAAGGCAGGTCATGGGACTTCTCAGCCTCCCCTAATTATGGGAGCTAATCCCTCGTAATAAATCTCTTGCTATCTCTCTATTGTTTCTGTTTTTCTAGAGAACTCTGACTAATACAGGGATCCAAATTGCTTCAGTCTTGTGGCACCTTCATTTCAATAAGCTGCTTCTATAATTGATGTGGCAGGAGAAGAACATGCTGGAAGGTCTTGCCCTGTATCCAAATGTTTGAACCAGAATTACAATGCATCATTAGCCAGAGCTGGTCACATGCCCCACCTGATTGCAACGTGGGAGTCAGAAATGAGCCACCCTCCTGTGTCCCCAGAGAGGAGATCTGACACAGGTGTAACTGGAGACTTCAGCACACCTGTGTCCATCGGCAGGCAGAGAAGTGGACAGATTTGAGATCCATTCTAGAGGCAAGACTGACAGGACTTCCTAGGAGATTGGATGTGGGAAGTGAGGGATAGGAAGGCATAAAGGTAAAGAAATAAACAAGACAGATTCATAAGTAATTCTCCAATATTTCTCAGAAATCCTTTCTAAAAACTGCCTGCAGAGTACACATGGGCTCACAAAAGTCCCTCTTAATCCTGATAGAATTTATCTCCCCCGCCACTTCCTTCCCAATTCCCTCTAATTCATTCTCCACGCATCACCTTCTGTGCTTTCTGAATGTATTATACTGTCCAAGGATTTGTTTATTTCCCATTTGCCTTGTATTTTATGCAGGCAGGACTGTTAATGAAGTGAATTACCAAGCCAGCAATGCTTTGAATTACGATGGCGTTGCAGTATTGAATTGTGAAACTGTGACCAGTAGGCACCAATAGGATTGTGTCTCCTATGCCTCTTCTTAAATCAGAGAGGGTATCTTTTTAAATAAAAACTCAGAATAGGTTTAGTTGCGCAAACTAAAATCACAGAAGATACGTGGAAACAAATGAGAGGATCTGGGATAGAAGTGAAGGTGACGGAATGAAGTCTTGGGGACCAAACAGGGTCTTCAGAGTCAGCAAGGCCAGTCTCTGAATCTGGGCTCCACTCTCTGACTTTAGCTCTTGAGCTTTGGGATTGCCTTTAAGAAAAAAAAAAAAAAAATCCTTACCCAATAAAGGAATTTTAGGAATTTAATGGGATGTATATAAAAACACCTGACAAGCAGAAGTCAGTAAATAGATGTGTTCTTACTCTCTCAAAGTCATTATTGCTTTATTTCCTCAAATCAGTCATTGTTATTGCCATAGAGGTAGGAAGCATCTCACACTGGTAAGAAGTCACCCAGTAATGAAAGGTACAGACAGAGAAGCCCTTTTAGTTATCTTTGCTTCTGTACCTTCCCTGTCCCCTCCTTTTCATTTCAAGAGTCTTCAGAGTTTTCTTCCTTTTTTCATCTAATGTCATTCAAACTTGCTCCAGAAAGAGACCTTCTCAATTCTGGGATAAGAGAGGACACTAGCTGTGAGCAGATCCCATCTAAGAGGTTGGGGCACACCACAAGTGAAGACGTTGGGTTGAGTCCTTTTTTAAAAAATGCTGATTTGGGAACATCTCTCAGACAAGTCATAGGGGATTGAGAGAAATTGATCCAGGTGAAAGTAGGAATTGCAAAGACTCTAAACCAGGAACAACATCGTGGCACAAGAGATAGCTGCAAGACAAGCGTGGGCTGATTTGTAAGCCCAGGAAGGATTACTGGGTGATGTGGTTTGGCTGTGTCCCCACCCATATCTCATCTTGAATTATAGCTTTCACAATTCCCACGTGTTGTGGGAAGGACCCTGTCGGAGATAATTGAATCACGGGGGGCAGTTTCCCCCATACTGTTCTCATGGTAGTGAATAAGTCTGATGGTTTTATAAGGGGAAACCCCATTTGCTTGATTCTCATTCTCTCTCTTGTCTACCACCAAGTAAGACATGCCTTTCACCTCCCCAGCCACGTGGAACTGTGAGTCCATTAAATGTCTTTTTCTTTATGAATTACCCAGTCTCGGGTATATCTTTATTAGCAGCATGAAAATTGACTAATATACTGGGGATCATATCACATCCTGCTGCAGGAGAACTCCTTTCCAGGTAGAAGTCCAGCATATGAATGCAGAGGGACCCACCTAAAACTAACCAAGTTAGAAGTCTGAGCAGTTGAGTCTAGGGACAGAAAAAGAAGAGGACTCAGTAGGGTTGCCAGGCAAACTCTAAGAACCAAAACCCTGAAGCCAGGCTCTTACAGGCTCAAAGTATGAATTCTGTTTCTGTGAATTCTGAGACAAAAAAAAAATTTTTTTAATTTTATTCTAATTTTCTGTTGAAAGCACTTCTTAAAAACTTGCCAGGCATGGTGGCTAATGCCTGTAATCTGAGCACTTTGGGAGGCCAAGGCGGGCAGATCACCTGTGGTCGAGAGTTCAAGACCAGCCTGACCAACATGGAGAAACCCCATCTCTACTTAAAATATAAAAATTAGTCGGGTGTGGTGGCACGTGCCTGTAATCCCAGCTACTTAGGAGGCTGAGGCAGGAGAATTGCTTGAACCCAGGAGGCAAAGGTTGTGGTGAGCCGAGATTGTGCCATTACACTCCAGCCTGGGCAACAAGAGCGAAACAAAACAAAAAACCCTTCATACCAGAATTAGCTGAAATAGAAAAAATGACCTGTTCACATCAGAACTGCCAAACTATACAGTTGAGAGCGCCCCCAAAGAGATAAGTTATGGGAGAGACCATGGCGACCCTCATGGTGTTCTGCTAGAGCTCTGTAGTCGGGTTAGCATGAGAAGCCTCCGACCCATGAGTGGAGATGGCTCTAACTGTTCTGCCAATACTTCTCTAATTGCTTCATTAGAAGATCACAATCTCTGTTCACATGTCACTGTGCAAGATTATTTTTCTGCCCACTTGTAGCATTTGTCACATCTTGACAGCCCTCTCAATTCCCTGATCCACTGACATCTTGTCACCTGGCAAATCTGCCATAATGTAGCAATACAGCCCCTGGCATCCTATATTCCTATACCTGACTCATGAGGAGTGCTGGAAAAAAAATCATGCGGGTGGTTTGGTGCCTTGGTAAATTCATAGTGTCCAATTTGTAGGGCCTTTTATATACCTTGGCAATTCTATTACATGCCCAGTTCCCTCCATGGCTACACTAGGCATCCACTGTTTCTTATTGTCTTTGCCTATTCTCTGGACTCCTAACTTCTCATTTAACTGTGCTCCTTTTTCAGAGAAACATGGTGCAGCTGGGTGAGCATTGGCCTGTAAATACAAGCCACCCTGACTTTCCTTCTCAGAGAAAGAAATGCCTCCCCTCTCACAAAAGAATAATCCACCTGCCATCACATCCCTCTCTATCTCCTCTGAGATCCAGCCCATCCCTTGATTTTTCTCTCTCCTGAATATTTCCCCTTTCCCTACCACAGTCCTTTCCCAGCTCAATTCCATCTCAAAATCAAAAACAAACGAAATCACCCATTCTGCTGTGTTCCTCCATCTATTGCCTTACCTTTCATTCAAAGTGCAACCAACTCTTGTCCTTTTTCTTTACCTGAAAATCCACTAAACCATTCTTGGAAAGCATCACCAAGTCCAAGAGCTATTTCAACATTTGCCATTTGACCCCTGAGGGTATTTGAACCACTGACAACTCACTTAGTACCTGGCTTCCACCACAGTCCTCTCTTCTTGTCCTTTGACCTCTGACTACTACTCAGGGTCCTTTCGCAGTTTCTTTCTTGGGCCAGTGCATAAGAGTGGGTGTTTCCCATGAGTCTTCTTTTTCTGATGTGAATTTAAAGTAAGTGGCTGGTATTCAGTTTACTGGTGTTCCCCCATACACTGCCTCCATGTCTCATGTCTTAGCCTGCTGGCTTCCTGTAAACATCTCTGCCAACCTTTTTCTCCTTCAGCTCCATCCTCATTTTCTCCGCGAGGGGTTGTGTCGTTTGCAAATTGTTTTTTGTTTTTTTTTTTTTTTTTGAGACGAAGTCTCACTCTTGTCCCCCAGGCTGGACTGCAATGGCGTATTCTCAGCTCACTGCAACCTCCACCTCCTGGGTTCAAGTGATTCTCCTGCCTCAGCCTCCTGTGTAGCTGGGATTACAGGATGCCTGCCACCACGACTGGCTAATTTTTGTATTTTTAGCAGAGACAGGATTTTACCATGTTGGCCAGGCTGGTCTCGAACTCCTGACCTCAGGTGATCCGCCCGCCTCGGCCTCCCAAAGTGCTGGGATTACAGGCGTGAGCCACCGCGCCTGGCCTCCTGTGCACATTTGATCACATCATTTCCCTGCTCAAAGACCTTCCATCCCCATCGCTCTTGAGATGTGCTCCGTACTCCTTATTAACTGGGCATGCAAAGCCATCCACCACCTGGCCCCTGCCTGCATTTGTTAACCATTAATTGGTACACATTTCCCTTTTTTAATTCCTTCCAGTCTTATATTATGGCTTCTGGCTGCTTTTATTATTTGATTACAGAATTTGTTTGGTACTGGCAACCAAGACTTTAGGCATGTTTTCATCACTTCAGTATGTTGCGGGGGGGAAATCTTTAAAAAGGTTGGAAAAAAAAGATACACAAAAACAAGCAGTTCTGCTATCACTGTTATCCACATATGGTTGATATACTTTTAAAAAATTATATCTGTATAAGTCATTCTTGAATTGAAAGTGATCACTTTACAAGCCCCACTGACAAGATTCCACAGAATAGCCAAAAGCTTAGAGACTACAATGGCTACTGCCAAGTAAGAAAAATTAAGACTCTGGGCTGGGCACAGTGGCTCATGCCTGTAATCCCAGCACTTTGGGAGGCTGCGGCGGGTGGATCACCTGAGGTCAGGAGTTCAAGCCCAGGCTTGTCAACATGGTGAAACCCCGTCTCTACTAAAAATACAAAAATTAGCTAGGCATGGTGGCGCATGCCTGTAATCCCAGCTACTCAGGAGGCTGAGGCAGGAGAATCACCTGAACCCGGGAGGCAGAGGTTGCAGTGAGCCGAGATTGCACCATTGCACTCCAGCCTGGGTGACAGAGCAAGACTCCATCTTAAGGAAAAAAAAAAAAAATTAAGACTCTGATAGTGCGAAGAATGTCTCTTGAAGGAAACAAACTATTCAATCCCTACAAAATAATGCCATCAGTGCTTACCGATCATCCACAAAGACCTCTAAAACATAGAATTAATGTCACCCTCTGTATATGACTCGTAATTAATACAATCATGCAATCGGTCCCCTGGCCAAGTAAAACATCCCAAAGAATAATCTGCAAATGGGCAACAAAGGAGTTTCAAGAATATCCCAAATTCTATTTACAATGACTATACAGGGGCTAAAACTGGATTGTGAATTTAAATGTAAAGCTTAAAACCAAATCAATGTTACTCTCTCTGAAGAAAGAATGTTTTAACAGACAGGGAATATTATCAAAGAACAGAAAGCCCAAAGGGTTATACAGTTCTTTCCATATACTTAGAAACACTCTGTCCTCATTCTAGGGATGAGGAGCCAGGAGAGCACCCTAGCCACCAGCATCCTGAGCACTGTAGAGGGATGTAACAGGCTGACCTGCCCCTGGGACAGAGGCCACAGTAATTAGCTGTGCACCAACTTCCAGCTCATTAAGCAAACTTCTAATTGTAATGTAGCCACCGCCCCTGCAACACACATACACCATGTAGTTTTCCTGAGGGAGAAAGGCAAGCATCGTAGTCTACTGCATGGTTTGAATACTCTTTTTAATTAACAAATTAATATTCTGATTTATAAATCGTCTTGTATGAATCTGTTTAACAAAAGTCTGCCTTTGTATATCCATTGTACTTAGGAACTGACAAAATCAAGTCACGGCGCCTACAAAGATGAGGGGCAGATTCTGGCTGCCTTTTAATTTCGTCCTTCACCTGATATCTGTGCCAGAGAATGGTAAGTTCTGGAGATAAAACAAGGTAGAAAACAGTTTCTTTGCTGCCTTGAAGCAAACAGCCTGGTGGGGATGACAGACAAGTAAACACACAATTACCATCTGAGCTTGCAGAATGAAAGCCGGCTATCTTCCATAATCATATTAATTTCAAGAAACCATGATTCTATGTTTTGGTGAATGCCATTTAATTCAAAATAGAGGAACTTTTCTTAAAATGACTTCATAGAACTTCATTCTTTTATACACAAACATTGCAGGCAGCTTAAAATTGCAAAAATGTCTGCAAATAGTATCTGCTTAGTTGGCTTTTATTTGCCTTCAGTTACCCTCAATGAAGATTAATTAGCTAGCTCTCTGCTTCTGAGTCAGTTACCATAATGTATTTTGCCCTCCTACCATAGTTGCAAGATAGTTTTCAACAATGTAAAATCAGCCAGGTGTGGTGGCTTACACCTGTAATCCCAGCACTTTGGGAGGCAGAGGTAGGGGAGGGTCTTGAGCCTAGGAGTTTGAGACCAGCCTGGGTAACATAGTGAGACTCCTGTCTCTATATACAATTTAAAAATTAGCCAGATGTGGTGGTGTGTGCCTGTGGTCCCAGCTACTCAGGAAGCTGAGGTGGGAGGATTGCTTGAGTCTGGGAGGTGGAGACTGCAGTACGCTTTGATTGCACCACTGCACTCCAGCCTGGATGACTGAGGGAGATTCTGTCTCAAAAAAAAAAAAAAAAAGTAAAATTGTAACTCTCATGCACATATAAAATGAACATGTGTGAAAGCTTTTATTTTACTCATAATGAGGGAAGCAGTTCAAAGGAGAATGCAGAGCACCACCACCTTTGCAGATCAGGAATATTGAGGTGAATTTGCCAGTAAAAGAACTGGCAAAGTGAGGGGCAGGGTGAGTCATTAGGACCTCTATCATGCAGGACATAATTTGCATATTTATGGACAAGAATTATTTTGCATTGCTATCAGTTAACTGCAACTTGGAGTTATAAAATAGCTCCCACAGGATCAGAATCAGACACTCAGAGGTGTGTGATCTGGCCAGGTGCATTGGCTCATACCTGTAATCCCAGCACTTTGGGAGGCCGAGGTTGGTGGATCACCTAAGGTCAGAGTTCGAGACCAGCCTGGTTAACATGGTGAAACCCCATGTCTACTAAAAATACAAAACTTAGCCAGGCGTGGTGGCACATACCTGTAATCACAGCTACTTGGGAGGCTGAGGCAGGAGAATTGCTTGAACCTAGGAGGCGGAGTTTGCAGTGAGCTGAGATCACGCGACTGCACTCCATCCTGGGTGATAAAGTGAGACTGTCTCCAAAATAAAATCCTGGCAAACCAAATCCAGCACATCAAAAAGCTTATCCACCATGATCAAGTGGGCTTATCCCTGGGATGCAAGGCTGGTTCAACATACGCAAATCACTAAACGTAATCCAGCATATAAGCAGAACCAAAGACAAAAACCACATGATTATCTCAATAGATGCAGAAAAGGCCTTTGACAAAATTCAACAGCCCTTCATGCTAAAATATCTCAATAAATTAGGTATAGATGGGACATATCTCAAAATAATAAGAGCTATCTATGACAAACCCACAGCCAATATCATACTGAATGGGCAAAAACTGGAAGCATTCTCTTTGAAAAGTGGCATGAGACAGGGATGCCCTCCTTCACCACTCCTATTCAACAAAGTGTTGGAAGTTCTGCCCAGGGCAATCAGGCAGGAGAAAGAAATAAAGGGTATTCAATTAGGAAAAGAGGCAGTCAAATTGTCCCTGTTTGCAGATGACACGATTGTATATCTAGAAAACCCCATCGTCTCAGCCCAAAATCTCCTTAAGCTGATAAGCAACTTCAGCAAAGTCTCAGGATACAAAATCAATGTGCAAAAATCACAAGCATTCTTATACACCAATAACAGACAAACAGAGAGCCAAATCATGAGTGAACTCCCATTCACAATTGCTTCAAAGAGAATAAAATACCTAGGAATCCAACTTACAAGGGATGTGAAGGACCTCTTCAAGGAGAACTACAAACCACTGCTCAACTAAATAAAAGAGGACACAAACAAATGAAAGAACATTCCATGCTCATGGATAGGAAGAATCAATATCGTGAAAATGGCCATACTGCCCAAGGTAATTTATAGATACAGTGTCATCCCCATCAAGCTACCAATGACTTTCTTCACAGAATTGGAAAGAACTACTTTAAAGTTCATATGGAACCAAAAACGAGCCCGCATTGCCAAGACAATCCTAAGCCAAAAGAACAAAGCTGGAAGCATCACGCTACCTGACTTCAAATTATACTACAAGGCTACAGTAACCAAAACAGCATGGTACTGGTACCAAAACAAAGATGGAGACCAATGGAACAGAACTGAGCCCTCAGAAATAATACCACACATCTGCAACCATCTGATCTTTGACAAACCTGACAAAAACAAGAAATGGGGAAAGGATTCCCTATTTAATAAATGGTGCTGGCAAAACTGGCTAGCCATATGTAGAAAGCTGAAACTGGATCCCTTCCTTACACCTTGTACAAAAATTAATTCAAGATGGATTAGAGACTTCAATGTTAGACCTAAAACCATAAAAAACCCTAGAAGAAAACCTAGGCAATACCATTCAGGACATAGGCATGGGCAGGGACTTCATGTCTAAAACACCAAAAGCAATGGCAACAAAAGTCAAAATTGACAAATAGGATCTAATTAAACTAAAGAGCTTCTGCACAGCAAAAGAAACTACCATCAGAGTGAAGAGGCAACCTACAGAATGGGAGAAAATTTTTGCAATCTACTCATCTGACACAGGGCTAATATCCAGAATCTACAAAGAACACAAACAAATTTACAAGAAAAAAACAACCCCATCAACAAGTGGGCGAAGGATATGAACAGACACTTCTCAAAAGAAGACATTTATGCAGCCAACAGACACATGAAAAAATGCTCATCATCACTGGCCATCAGAGAAATGCAAATCAAAACCACAATGAGACACCATCTCACACCAGTTAGAATGGCGATCATTAAAAAGTCAAGAAACAACAGGTGCTGGAGAGGATGTGGAGAAATAGGAACACTTTTACACTGTTGGTGGGACTGTAAACTAGTTCAGCCATTGTGGAAGACAGTGTGGCAATTCCTTAAGGTTCTAGAACTAGAAATACCATTTGACCCAGCCATCCCATTACTGGGTATATACCCAAAGGATTATAAATCATGCTGCTATAAAGACACATGCACACGTATGTTTATTGTGGCACTATTCACAATAGCAAAGACTTGGAACCAACCCAAATGTCCATCAGTGATAGACTGGATTAAGAAAACACATATACACCATGGAATACTATGCAGCTATAAAAAAGGACGAGTTCATGTCCTTTGTAGGGACATGGATGAAGCTGGAAACCATCATTCTCAGCAAACTATCGCAAGAACAAAAAACCAAACACCGCATGTTCTCACTCATAGGTGGGAATTGAACAATGAGAACACTTGGACACAGGAAGGGGAGCATCACACACCGGGGCTTGTTGTTGGGGTCGGGGGAGTGGGGAGGGATAGCATTAGGAGATATACCTAATGTAAATGACAAATTAATGGGTGCAGCACACCAACATGGCACATGTATACATATGTAACAAACCTGCACATTATGCACATGTACCCTAGAACTTAAAAGTATAATAATAAAAAATAACAACAACAAAAGTCAAAGAAGTATGTGATCTCAACAGTGCAAACCTATCCACTGTGGCACAAAATTTTCCCTACACCATGAACACTATCACTGCCCATCACTCTAATGTTAAGGGAAGGATTCACAGGAATGAACCTCACAGACTCACTTCTTCTGAATTTCAGTCTCCCTCCACCCCACAGATTACCCCAAACAGGGAAACAGATGGACCTGGCTCAGGCGTGAGTCCTTTGGGCAGTCAAAGTATTGGCTTGCCTCAGTTGCCTGAAGTGGGAGTTATCAAAAGGACAGATTTGATATGGAGATTTATAAAAACCTCAAATTCAGTGTGCAAAAGTGGGACCCTAATTAGGAAATGGTGTCTTTAGGCGAGTAGAGAGAAAATAAAATAGAAACAGATTGAAAACAAGTTGCAAACATGAGCATCTGTGCCTCATTTCACTGGTCCAGAAGTGACAGGTCCTTGGCTGTGGGAAGCAAGCCTAAAAGTGTAGAGTCAGTGTGGAATTCACCCACAGTACAGTGTTTCTGTCTTTTTTAACCGACTTCCAACGATATTCTCTTACTCTAGGCTGGTCTGAAGGTAGTGAGTTATCTCAATTGATTGTTCACCGTCAGTTACAGATTGAATTCCTCATTCTACTCTTTTTCCCCTTCTCATTACTGCACTTGTCTGGTCTAATATACATATCTTTTCTTACTCTAAACAGCTAAGATTATTTTGACCTCTCTTTAGTGTGCCTTGAATTTGAAAATCTTGGATACGCTAAGTATTTTTTAATATTAATATCCACATTCCCTGATGTAAGAATCCTTATATGCCATCTTAGTTAAGAATGAAGGAGCTGGGCACGGTGGCTCATGCCTGTAACCCCAGCACTTTGGGAGGCCAAGGCAGGTGGATCACCTGAGGTCAGGAGTTTGAGACCAGCCTGGTCAAATGATGAAACTCCGTCTCTACTGAAATTACAAAAAAAATTACCCAGGTGTGGTGGTGCATGCCTTTAATCTCAGCTACTTGGGAGGCTGAGGTGGGAGAATCGCTTGAACCCGGGAGGCAGAGGCTGCAGTGAGCAGAGATGGTGCCACTGCACTCCAGCCTGGGTGACAGAGGAAGACACTGTCTCAAAAAAAAAAAAAAAAAAAAAAGAATGGAGGCCATAAGAGTGATGTATATTGAATGGTCATTAGGTGCCATGTGTATTGTTTTAAGAAGTTTACACATGTGTCATCTCATTTCATTTACTTCTCACATTGAACATACAGGTTAGATACTAGGTCTATTTTATAAACTGAGGAAATTGAGACACTGGAAGATTAAATAACATACCCGAAGTCGCTGTCCGAGTTGGAAGTGGAGTGGAGTTTTGAACTCAGACGTTACGCCATTCTACCTCCCTCATAGGGGAAAATTTGCCCTTCAATGGAGAACCACCTCATTGTCCACAGCACCAGCAGCCCCTCCATTGTATCGAATTCTGAGTCTATGGGAGCTGACAAAGATGTTCTCCTTAACCAAGCTACCCCAGTTCTTTTTCAACAAGCCCTCATCCTTGGACACAGCCTCAAGAGCTCATCTTAGCAAAGATGTTACTAAGTCAGTTTGGCCAGAATCCCCTATGCTTAATATCTGACCATCTTTGATTTCTGATAAAATTCTTCATCCCTCACCATGCCCTAGGTGATGTCTGATCACCCTAGTCAGCCTTACCCAGAATTGCACCTTACCTCTGATGTTTCCTCGTAGTGATTTTCCATCCACTGACCCCGCTGCGCTGCTCCTTGCCTATAAATCCCCACCTTTCCTTGTATTCGAAGTTGACCCCAATCTCTCTTTCCTACTGCAAACCTCATTGCAGTAGTCTCTACACCTACCACAATAGTCCTGAATAAATTCTGCCATACTGTTTTAACGAGTGTCATGAATACTTTCTTCTTTAACTGAGCTATTTTGCAATTCTATAAATTGTGCATAACTGATAACAGTACAAAATAATTCTTATCCATAGGTATGCAAATGAATTGTGTCCAGGGGAGAGGCAACTCTCCCTCTCCCACACCACAAGGAAAAAGTAGTTCTGCCTCCATTGACACACTCAGCTCAATAGTTCTGATCTATACATGTAAATGTATCTATTCTGTGGATTCTCCTTTGAACTGGTTATAACACCTTTCCAGTTTTCTCACTGATAATTTAAATTAAATCTTTACGGTTGAGCCCAGGAGTTCGAAAGCAGCCTGAGCAAAATTTCAAGAACTCACCTTTATAAAAAAACTTTAAAAAATAGCCAGGCATGGTAGTACCTGCCTGTAGTCCTAGCTACTCCAGAAGCTGAGACAGGAGGATTGCCTGAGCCCAGGAGTTCAAGCCTGCAGTGAGCCACGATCACACCACTGAAATCCTGGGCAACAGTGAGACCCTGTCTAAAAAATAAAAAATAAAATAAATATTTAAAAAGTGATCATTTTCGTAGCTGTATGAAATACATGATTTTACCTTATATGAAAATTATCTTTTAACACCTCAAATGAGGTTGCTGACAACATATTTGAATCAAATAAACAAATTACAGTGATCAAGAGGATAAACTTTAAAGGCAAGTGGACAATCACTCAAATTCCTGCTCTGATACATACTAGATGCTTAACCTTAAGAAAGTTATTGGCTGGATGTGGTGGCTCATTCCTGTAATCCCAGCACTTTGGGAGGCCGAGGTGGGCATTTCACAAGGTCAGGAGTTCAAGACCAGCCTGGCCAACATGGCAAAACCCTGTCTCTACTAAAAGTACAAAACTTAGCCGGGCGTGGTAGTGGGTGCCTGTAGTGCCCCCTACTCAGGAGACTGAGGCAGGAGAATTACTTGAATCCAGGAGGTGGAGGTTGCAGTGAGCCACGATCATGCCATCATTGCACTCCAGCCTGGGCAAGAGAGCAAGACTCCATTTCAAAAAAAAAAAAAAAAAAGAAGAAAGTTATTTAGCCCTTCTATGATTTCAGCTTCCTCAGGTGCAAAATGAGAATAATCCTCTCTTTGATGAATTTGATGCAAAATCTGTATGAGACAATGCATAAAAACACTTAGCACAGTCATTGGAGTGGAGACCCTGCTTAATAATCAGTATTCAGCAGTATTTGTTCAAAGAAACCAGAATGTGTCACCTCAAAATATGCCTCTTTGACATAAATGTTTTTTGAGCTAAAGGCAATTAAGAAGCAGACAGAAAAGCTCTCTGCCTTCCTTCTGTTTGCCTAAAAGCAGGGCAGAGAATTGCAAAGACAAAAGGTCTTCTACCCTCCCCCTATTTTGCACCTAAAGCCAGGATGTAAATTCTCCTTTACAACCTTTTATCAGCTCAGCAACAAAGCCAGGAGATTCTGCCAGTGGACTTCACTCCCTTCATTTCCCATAAATTTGCCTTCCCACATTTTCCCACTTCTAGGATCCTGGGACAGCTTCCCCTTTGTCTTGTCACTTCTCTGAGCTGTATTGTTCTTTGTCGAATATACGACATAAGCCAGACTCTTAAAGCCACTGCTTTGAGTTACTTTTCTCCCACGGGATGTGCACTGCATGCATTAATATACTTGCTTGTTTTTCTCTTGTTAATCTGTCTTTTCTTGTGAGTCTGTCCCAACTACAAACGTATGAGGGTTGAGGAAGAGTTACTTTTTTCTCCCATTCATAGTCTATACAGCGGCGGTTGTTACTGTCTTGGCAGGCCTCTTAAGGCAGCACTTCTTCAACTGCAGTGTGCCCATGAATCACCTGAGAAATGTGTTAAAATGCAGATTCTGGTTGAGTAGATCCAGGGTAGGCCCTAATATTCTACATTTCTGAAACCGAGGGCTAATCTTTTTTTTTTTTTTTTTTTTGAGATGGAATTTTGTTCTTGTTGCCCAGGCTGGAGTGCAACGGTGCAATCTCAGCTCACCAAAACCTCCGCCTCCCGTGTTCAAGTGATTCTCCCCCATCAGCCTCCCAAGTAGCTGGGATTACAGGCATGTGCCACCACACCTGGCTAATTTTTATTTTTAGTAGATATGGTGTTTCTCCATGTTGGCCAGGCTGCCTTGAACTCCTGACCTCAGGTGATCTGCCTGCCTTGGCCTCTCAAAGTGTTGGCATTACAGGTGTGAACCACCACGTCCGGCTACTGAGGGCTAATCTTTTAAGTTGCTTGCACCTTGTTGATTTTTGCTGCTTGTTGATTTTTTAAACCCACATAGCTTAAAGTCAGGCTGCTAAATGCTATAACTTAGCCTTCACTAGCTTCCCTATAAATAACACTCTGACATATATGTCACCATAGTAACAATTGCTTAAGTTGTCTTTCAGGAACTTGGGGCGGCCCCTGTCCAGTTCAAACCAGCTGAGACCACCAACCCTCTGAATGCACCTGCATGGATGTCGGAAAAGTGACACTTGCCATCAGAGGGCCAAAACTCCACCCTCAGATCATGTTAACACTGCTATTTTCTGACCATGTGTCCTAAGAAGAGCCGTGAGCCCAGACTGCACTTGCTCAGATCACCAGTTACCTCACTTCTCCCCACCCTCAATCACCTTTCCCCACCTTAGACCATCCTAATTCTTTACTCCATAAATATCCCTAAGCATTATCCTTGAGGAGGTAGATTTGAGAGCTGTTCTCCCATCTCCTGGCTGGGTTGCCCTGTGAGTAAATCTTTTCTCTTTTGCAAAACCCATTGTCACCATGACTGGCTTACTGTGTGCAGGCAGAATGAACCTGGTTTGGTGTCATATCTACGAGCTCCCAGACAATGCCAGTCCCACTGGACTAAGGGTCTCACTTTGAGTAACAAGTTCTTAAAAGTCTCCTGGATCAAGTTCTTCTGCCCTGACCGTCTTTTTCATAATAGTCTAGAGCAAGACTTCACACACAAGAAATGTTGGACTGTCTCATAGGCAGAAGGGTTTGTGGGAAAAGCAGTGAGTCCATTTGAAAGCTACAAAAGTAAAGTGAGCTCTCATCATGTCACCAATAAGTGTTCTGTTTTTAATTTTCAGATAAAAATCATAATAAAGGAAATAATGGAAGAGGAGACTTATGTTACTGGGGACATCTAACATAATTATTTTCCTGATTCAGTGGCATGGTTCAGTCTTCCAGGAGTTCTGCTACAGAGAAGAGAGTAACCCCCATCCATCATGGCCAAAGCACCCAGTCAGGCTCCGCTCTGGATCCAGCCCGACAAATGCAACCCTTGAATAGGGTTTGTGCAAGCAAACTGGATGACGACCGAAGAAACCCTGTCGCTTCTGAGAAGACACCCAATCCAAGAATGTGAGTTCTGGAAATGTCATTAAATGTCAGTTATATACATGCTTACGTGTCCATATTAGCTATGCAATCACCATCAGCAAGTTCTTTTTCTCAACCAAAAAAAGAAGTAAATTTCTCTGCTAATTAAATATTTCCTCAGGCCAGGCACGGTGGCTCACACCTGTAATCTCAGCAGTTTGGGAGGCCGAGGAGGGTGGATCACTTGAGGTCAGGAGTTCAGGATCAGCCTGGCCAACATGTGAAACCCCGTCTCTACTAGAAAGGCAAAAATTAGCTGGGCATGGGGGCATCTGTAATCTCAGCTACTTGGGAGACTGAGAGAGGAGAATCGCTTGAACCCGGGAGGTGGAGGTTGCAGTGAGCCGCGATGGTGCCACTGCACTCCAGCCTGGGTGACAGAGCGAGATTGTCTCAAAAAAAAAAGATAAAATAAATAAATGAATAAATAAATACATCTTCACTAAAACTCAAATAAGTGAATTTTGAGAGAAGAATTTTATTTTTTATTTTTATTTATTTATTTTTTTTGAGACGGAGTTTCGCTCTTGTTACACAGGCTGGAGGGTGATGGCACAATGTTGGCTCACCACAACCTCTGCCTCTCGGGTTCAAGAGATTCTCCTGCCTCAGCCTCCCAAGTAGCTGGGATTACAGGCATGTGCCACCATGCCTGGCTAATTTTATTTTCTTTCTTTCTTTTTTTTTTTTTTGTATTTTTAGTAGAGATGGGGTTTCTCCATATTGGTCAGGCTGGTCTCAAACTCCCAACCTCAGGTGATCTGCCTGCCTTGGCCTCCCAAAGTGTTGGGATTACAGGCGTGAGCCACAGCATCCAGCTGAAATAAGAATTTTAATGGGAAAATACCTTATCTGTATTCAGTGTTGACTCCATGCTAATTTGAGTGTTTGAGATGGCTATTAGGTGCTGTAACATTAAATAATTTACAAATACTTAAATATTTGAACCATAACTACAGTTTTAAAATAAGTTTACTCATCTAAGAGTGAAGATTCTCTTACAATCTGCAAGTCTATAGCTCAACTTTTACATATTCATGTTTTATATTCATTTTCAGGAAAGCATCAGGTTCAATACCTAGGAACTCCTGTAGAGGGTGTTGTGGAATCTTCTTTAAAAGAACAAAACAAGGCAAAACAAAGTTTAATAGGGTAGAGCAGCCAGGTGTGGTGGGTCATGCCTGTAATCTCAGCAATTTGGGAGGCCAAGGCAGGATCTCAGCAATTTGGGAGGCGAAGGCAGGCAGATCACTTGAGCCTAGGAGTTCAAGACCAGCTTGGGCAACATAGCAAGACCCTGCCTATACCAAAAAAAAAAAGTGAACCTAGGAGTATGAGGCTGCAGTAAGCTGTGGTTGTACCAGTGCACTTTGGGAGGCCAAGGTAGGCGGGTCTTCTGAGATCGAGAGTTTGAGACCAGCCTGACCAACATGGAGAAACCCCGTCTCTACTAAAAGTACAAAATTAGCCGGCATGGTGGTGCATGCCTGTAATCCCAGCTACTCGGGAGGCTGAGGCGGGAGAATTGCTTGAACTCAGGAGGCAGAGGTTGTGGTGAGCCAAGATCGCGCCATTGCACTCCAGCCTGGACAACAAGAGCGAAACTCCATCACAAACAAACAAACAATAAACAAAAACCATAGAGTGATTTCTGGCCAACAGAGCAAGAAAGAAGTGAACCAATGAAAACCGGTCCAAGTCTGGGAGTCAATATGGAAAAGCTGCCTAATTAATGTGGAAGCCCCAGGGAAATGATATACCATGAAAACCTAACACTACAAAAACTAGTTGTCAGACACATGTGAGCAGTGAACAGAATCCTAATATGCTGGTTTAACATTCAAAACTGGAGAGTGTTTGTGTATCTTCTAAAGACTGTTTGGGGTTTATTTGTGGAGTTCAGCTGAGTGTCATCAGAACAAAGATTAGTGCAAAAAATCTTTCAGAAATCATGCCCAAACATTTGCATGCACCTTAAATAAGAAATGAAATAGCAAGAAGAGTATGTCACAATAAAGTATAAATAGCAAGTGATATGTCTCATCGTACTGAGACAGTTTTATAAATGAGGCAAAGGCCTTGTCAAAAAATAATGATGATTTTCAAAATTCTGAAACGCAAAGGAGGAAAACTACTTCATTCAGTTAACAGGAAGCACACAAGAATCTCCCCATCAACCAAGATTTTTTTTTTCTATAACCCACGCTTTGTAAGACAATAATAGCAAAAACTATAAACTAGAATTTGTTGAAAGAACAACTTCTAGAATTTGCCCTTTATGTGCTGTTTTACCATTGTCATGTCTGTCTCTGGTATGACTTCCTCATCTATTAGTAGCCTCCTAATAAATTTGAACAAATGAATGAATGAATAAGAGACAACTAAGCATGAGGTATTGCAAGATGGTAACTCATCCAGGGAAAATTAAAACCTGGAGTGGATCAGATGGAAAAACAAAATAAGACACTAGAAAAAAATCACCAGGAGGGTTTCAAACCAAAAGATCCCCTGGTTAACCTTCAGCTAATTATAAGATTTAATTAACTAGAAAAACTCAATCCTTGTTTATTCTATTTAATTGAGATTTTACCATATTTAAAATGATGTTACTCAAGTGTTCTCATTAATATTTAATGAAAGTGTGAGAGAATTGGCTAACCAAATTTACTGTGCTTAGGTAAACTGTAATTAGGAAGGGTTAGCAGAGCATCCCAAGGGACCTATCAATCACAAAATGAAGCGATACAATTACAGATGAATTTCAACAAGGAAACACACAAAACAGTGATCCTCAAAAAAGATGGAATAAAATTACTTGAATGTGGTAGTCGGTTCTGAGAAATGCAATCAATCACATGTCATTTCAGACAACTCAGAAGGAATAACCCTACCCAACAGACTTGAACTCTTTGTGTGTGTGTGTGTGTGTGTGTCTGTGTGTGTGATAGAATTTCACTCTTGTCGCCCAGGCTGGAGTGCAGTGCGATCTCGGCTCACTGCAACCTCTGCCTCCCAGGTTCAAGCAATTCTTCTGCCTCACCCTCCCTAGTAGCTGAGATTATAGGTGCCCACCACCACACCCGGCTAATTTTGTATTTTTAGTAGAGAAGGGGTTTCACCATGTTGGCCAGGCTGGTCTCGAACTCCTGACCTCAGGTGATCTTCCCACCTGGGCCTCCCAAAGTGCTGGGATTACAGGCATGAGCCACTGCACCTGGCCCAGACTTGAACTCTTGATTGCATGAAAGTGTATTAATCTTCTATCTGCTTATTCCCAATTTCCCAGCTGATAAAATGCCCCACTGTTATTTCACTTAAATTTGGAATAACCTGCATCTAGTTAAGTTGGAGCTACTTTGTCTTGTTGCAGATTTTCTTTTGCTTTGCTGTCTTCATTCTAACTTGGCAGAGCCCAGGTGCTTTGTCTCTATTTGCCTGCAAGACCTCTTTTCCAAGACATGTCAGGTTTCTCTCTAAAGTACCTTCCACCTGGAGGATATCTGTTCTTGTTCTTTAATTCCTGGCCCTATTTCCTATTCATCTGAAAAACTAGGCTTTGTGAGCAGGATCATGCATGGCAATGAGTTCTAATGAGTTTTTAATGTTTCACACTTCATGATGAACATATATTTGCATTTCAGAAAATGCTTTTAAGGAATGTTTTTTTTTTTCTGCCCTCACTCCTAACTCAGTTGCCTTTAAGCAAAACCAAAGAGAGCCATGGCCAGCCTGTTCAAATGGCTGCAATCATTTAAGCCCCTCTCGCTGCACCCTGGCCCCTCTTGCCTCCCTAGCCTGCCCATGCTTGCCCCTGTCTCAACTTCTACCCCCACTCCAGCTGAAGAGATTTGCCATTCTCAGCTTTCACCTTTGGGGATCCCTCTTGACCATGGTTAGCAATTGCTGTGACCATCCTCACATCACAGATTTTTGGGCTTCTGTTTCTTAGGACAATGCCTGCTCTCCCTGCTAGCCTATCCCTCATCCCAGGCCCTCCAACCTCCAGCCACTGCAACTCTAGAGCCACATCCTATCCCATTGACTAACCCAACTGCCAAGCCAAGCCCAATCCCCAGACCTGGAGCTCAGAGAAATTATTAATCCAATCAAAGGCACTAAAGTTGGGATTCTGACTCTGAAGCAGGTACCAAATTTTGGACAGAGAGGGGCTCCTGAAACCATACTATTCCTGCATTAAGTGTCTGGCACTAGGCAGGGGATATGATGTGATCTAACAAGGCCATGCACTGGAATTAACCTGCGTGAGCTCCACTTGGCTGCCCTCTAAAGGTCAATGCATTGTTTGAGCCTAGGGGAGCCAGTCACTGCTACATCAATGGCTGCATCACGGTATCCTTTTTAGGACTAAACCTGCATTTTCCTAATATTCAGGTCTGTAGAAACTTTGACTGCAAGAATTTTACAGGAATGGGTAAATATCTGTAAGTACTTAAAAGTATATATGGTAATATACAATATGATAGAAGAAATAAGACCTAATGTTAGATAGATCAGCAGGGTAATTATAGTTTACAACCATCTTTTGTACAATTCAAAATAGCTACAAGAGAAAAAGGTGAGTGTTTTTAGCATAAAGAAAAGACAAATACTTAATGGATATCCCAAGTATACTGATTTGATATTTACAAATTATACAAATGTATTAAATTGTCATGTGTACTCCAAAACTATGTACATTATTATGCATCAATTAACAAAAGATAAAAGTATGTATGAATCAGTAAGTACTTCTAAGGACCTGTAAATCCATATAAGTGCACATTAGTATAAGAGAACTAAGGAGAATTTGAGATCAGTGTTTACACAGTGCTAGCATTTTGTTATCTAAAACACCTCTTTTTCAACTCTATCAAAGATTGAATGCATTTTTTAATTCAAGGAATATAATATTCAGGATGATTATTTTTATTACAGCTGTGGGCTTTTTCCTTGGGCATTGAACGCTTCCATTTAGTTCAACTACTTATTATCTTTTCTTCTCCTCTTCTTTTTTTTTTTTGCTTAACTTTCTATTTCTTTCCCAGTAATAACATATATTTTCTCAACTTCTTAAATCTCTTTATTAGATACAGTCGAATGTAATTTGGAATTTACGAGTCTTATCACATTCTCATTCTGCTTGAGCAATTCAAGATATAAGAAAAACAGACTGTCTACATTTCTTCAGAGTTCCTCCAACTATTGGCTTAAAATTCCTGAAATTAAAATTATAGTTCTTTGACATCGCTTCTGTCTAATCATTGCTGATACCTGGAAAACACCAAATGGCTTACTTACACAGTGTCCCACTCTGAAATTTCTCACATAAAGGATTGTCTTACACAGAAATACTGACCATTTTGACAAGGGAATGGCCCTAGAATTGGGCCAGAGCTAAAAATAAGCAGAATAAACAATTTTGATATTCTTCTTCAATGGTCATAAATCTAGTTAGCATGTTATCATTTACATATTATGATTTTGTTCATGATAGTTGTAGTAGAATGGCCTAAAGAAATCAAGATCTGTTTTATCTTCTACATTACTTTAGTTACTGTAAGACTGATAACTCACATTGTCGTTTACCAAGTATTTCCATTTGTTCCTTGGAATAATCCTGTGAAGTGGGTATTTTTTATCACTAGTTTCATATAATGAATATATTACTGTTAATGTCAATACATTCTATTTATCCAGCTCACTTATTCTAGTATTCTCTCTGCAGTGATTCTTTAATCTCATTGAGAAGCCCCCATGCCCAATACACGCCTCCTATCTTCATACACGCCTCCTATCTTCATTTCCCTCCTTCCCCAACTCACACCCTTGAAAACATTCTTATCTCTCTTGTTTCTTTTTCTGTTGTCCTTGACTGGCAAATTTGGAGGCATGGATGTACCCAACTCTTTGCCATTTGGGGCTACCCCCAACTAGCCAAATACTGCTAGAGAAACTCTCCTGAATGATTTCACTCTAAGTTCTATGAACTTCAAATGGGCATTTAAGGATACCTGGCAGTCCTACTATGTTTTCCTAATAAATTTCATTTTCCTCTTTCAAAATTGTTATTTATTCTCCCGTCTCCTCCAACCTCCCATATCCCCACCTCCACACTCACTCTCTGCTGCTGATGACCTCACTTCATACTTTATTGAAAAAAATAGAAGCCTGCAGAGGAGCAACACTTTCATACTGCTCCCACTGTATCTAAAAATCTCTAAGTTTCTGTGCCTGTCTTAGTCAGCTTGGGCTGCCATAACAAAATACCATAAAATGAGTGGCTTAAACAACAGAAATTTTTCATCTCATATTTTGAAGACTCAAAATGTTGGCATCGTTGGTACCTGGTGAGGGCTCTCTTCCTGGCTTGCAGACAGCTGCCTGCTGGCTGGGTCCTCACATTGTCTTTTCTTGGTGCATGCATGAGGGAGAGAGTGCTAGTGTCTCTTCCTCTTCTTATAAAGACACCAGCCCTATCAAATTAAGGGGTAGCTCTATGACCTCATTTAAATAGAATTATCTCCCTAAAGACCTTATCTTCTAATATAGTCACATTTGAGACTGTGGCTTCAACATGAATTTTGGGGAGACAGAATTCAGTCCTTCAGAGTGCCTGTGTTTTTCATCTTACCATATGTTACAACAGAAAAAAATGTCCCTGCTCTCATCAAAAATCAGTAACCCCCAGTATGTTCTGGCTCCTGCCCGTCTCACTTTCTTAACATTACTGACCCCCTCATCTCTTCCTTCTCTTACATAACTAGGGTTATCCTTCTCACAAGCACACAAACACGCTCCTCCCTTGACTCCATAATCCCTCTCCATCTCCCAACTCATTTTTCTACCCCCTGTAAGCACCACTTCTCTAACAAATTATCTAAAATTACTGCTTCCCCTTCCTCAACAATCTATTCCCTCATCAGAAGACTTAAAACTGGCTAATGTAGCTTCTGGGACTCAGAAAATGAAAGCCCAAAATATGACACTTCAGACTTCAAACTGAGAGCACATGGAGAGCAGCAAATGCAGAGAAGGACTTTCCCCAAAGGTCCCTCCCTACCTAAACACAGGATTCTCCTAAGATACTCAATCATTGTCAATCGCTTCCCCAGGGTATCTCAATGACTGGGAGAAGACTGAAGCCTATCCCAGGAAAAGAAGACTAGAATTGATGACACACCAGGAGTCCAGATGGGCTTTGTCTCAGACTACCATCTGTTCTTCAGGCCCATTCATCTTCCCTAAAACTCATTTACTCCTCCTCTAAATTGTCTGCATCCCACCCTTCCCCCTCCCTGTGAAGAAGGGTATATAAGCTTCTAAATCCCATTGGGTCATTGGACACTCACCTTCCTGGAATGCACGCATACACATAATATATGTGTTAGCCTTTTCTCTCGTTAAGTGATCTGTTAGTTTATTTCTCAGACTCAAATATCAGACATGCAGAGTGGAAAGAAAGGGCTCTCTCACCCAACATGGCTCATCTCAAGCTCATCAAAAGCCCCCATGTTCCAAATTCAATGGACGCCTCACTTGTCTTTTTTTTTTTTTTTTTTTTTTTTGAGACAGAATCCTGCTCTGTCACCCAGGCTGGAGTGCAGTGGCATGATATCGGCTCACTGCAACCTCCACCTCCCAGGTTTATGCGATTCTCCTGCCTCAGCCTCCCGAGTAACTGGGATTACAGGTGCGCCACCGTGCTCAGCTAATTTTTTTATTTTTAGTAGAGACAGGGTTTCACCATGTTGCCCAGGCTGGTCTTGAACTCCTGACCTCAAGTGATCCACCGGCCTCAGCCTCCCAAAGGGCTGGGATTACAGAGGTGAGCCACTGTACTGGGCCGCACTTATCTTACTTGATCTTTCAAGAACACCTGACCCAGTCAACTGCTCCTCTTCCCTGAAAACCACATCACACTCTCCTGGTTTTCTTTCTGCATCCCTGGCTGCTCCCTCTGCCTCTCCTTTGCTGGCTTCTGCTTCTCTTTCAAGCCTCTAAATGTGGGAATACCCTAGAACTTGCTCCTAGATCCCCTTTTCTTCTCCACCTATCTCCAGAGCTAAGTGAGCTCATTCTACTCTCTGGCTTTGAGTCCTATCTCTCTGGCGATGACACCCAGATTGATATGTGCAGTTCTGACCTCTCCCTTGAGCTCCAGACTCATTTATATGGTCGAAATGCCCATCTGACATTTCCAATTGGACGTCTAATAGTCTTGTCAAATGTAGCATATCCAAAACATAACCTTTGACTTCCCTCTTTTCCAGTCTTCCCCATCTCTATGGATGGTAATGAACTGCTCAAGCCAAACATTTATCATTCGGATTCCTGTCCTTCTCTTCTCTCCTATACCCGGGCTTTTGACGATTCAGCCGTAAATCCATCTACTTCTCTTTATCGGTACTTCTATTGCCTCATTCAAGGCACATCAGCTCTTGTCTGGATGGAAGCCATGGCCCCATAAGTAGTCTTTCTGCTTCAATTGCCTGACTGCCACACATTCTCTATGCAGCTATCAGAGTACTCTTTTAAAAACTTAAATCATACTTGTCATACATGACATATTGTCATGCCCTTGCTCAGAACCCTTCTGAGGCTTCACTTATTATTAGAATAAAACTCATCCTCACCAAGGCTTGCATCCTACAACATAACCTGACTTAGTAGGTCTATTTCCTCCTTTGCTCTCTGTATTGGTCCATTTACATTGCTGTAAATAAATGCCTGAGACTGGGTAGTTCATCAGGAAAAGAGGTTTATTTGGCTCACAGTTCTGCAGGCTGTACACAAAGCATCGTGCCAGCATCTGCTTCTGGTGAGGGATTCAGGAAGCTTATAATCATGGCGGGATGTAAAGGAGAGCCAGCACATCACATGGATAGAGAGAGAGAGAGAGGAGACAGTGCCAGGCTTTTTGAAACAACCAGATCTTGTGTGAACTCAGAGAATAAGAACTCACTCATTACTGCCGAGACATTCATGAGGGATCTGCCCCCATGACCCAAACACCTCTCACTAGGCCCACTTCTAACACTGAAGCTCACATTTCAACATGAGATTTGGAGGGGACAACCATCCAAACCCTATCACCCTCCATGATCCATTCTTTCTGCTTCTCAAATATGCCATGTTTAGGGCTGCTGTTCCTCTGCCTTGAGCGTTCCTGTTAGTGCTTCAGGTCTTAACTCGAATGTCAACCCCTCAGAGTGACTTTTGCTACTCCCTATGGAATGCTCACCTCCCACCCCCGCCATCAGCATTTATTTCGACTTCTTTCCTACCACTTAGCACAGTGAGCTCCAGGAGGGCAGGCTTTTGTCTGGCATGCTCCCTGCACATTCTCCAGCACCAAGCACAGACCTGGCACACAATGAATGTTCACTGAAAGAATGAAGTTGATCTCAGACTCTCCACCCAGCTCCAGGCTGCCAAAATAAGCCCCTAATTGCCTTCCCTGCTTCTCCTTTTGTTCCTGCCCCATCTGTCTCCTAGGGAGAATTGTCTCAGCTAGACCAGTCCTGGGCTCTTCACACATCAGAGTTAGAGAGTTGACAGGGAATTAATAGAAGATAGAACCTGAAAGGCTTAGGAGGGGTAAGACTTGGAGAAATCTGTTGTCAGTCAAAAATAATAAAGTACAGAGGTGTATGTGAGGAGGTAGGGGAGGGAGTACAGGAAGGGGAAAGAAATCTATATAGTCCAGGTGTAAGTGAGAAAGTTCTTTCAGCATTTGTCAAACTTGAGTTTGGGAGAGGGTGTGGGAAATAAATAACTGAGAAGAGTAAATGGGATTGCAGCATAGATGAGGATTCTGAATTAGGGCCACTCTGTCACCCAGGCTGGAGTACAGTAGTGCGATCAAAGCTCACTGCAGCCTGGAGCTCCTGGTCTCAAGCAATCCTCCCACCTCAGCCTTCCAAGTAGCTGGGACTACAGGCATGTGCCACCAAACTCAGCTAATTTTTTTTTGCATTTTTTTGCAGATATGGGGTCTTGCTTTGTTCCGGCTGGTCTCAAGCTCCTGAGCTCAAGTGATTCTCCCAAAGTGCTGGGATTACAGGCATGTGCCACCATGTGCAGCCTGGAGCCCTTTTTATGTACTTTAAGAAGAAGGAAAATAAGGACACAAATTTTTTTTCTGGCATGTTGAGTTGTGCTTCCTGAAATACCAGCCTGGGCTGAATGCCATGGGCCTGTGATTTCAACAAGGTTACATACATATGAGAAAACTGAAGCTCTGAGTGTTCATAGGACATGACCACTGTCATTCAGTTGATAGATGACAAAAGGAGGATTCGAACCCATGGCTTTTACCTACAGGGCCCTTGTTGTTACAAGCATTCTCCTTGCTTCCCTCCAAAGCAAGAAATGAGGTTAGCCAGACATATGGCCTCCAATTGTTATCATTTTCCTTTCAAATTGTTTACAGTAATTTAAGTCAAGCTAGCTGGGCGCGATGGCTCATGCCTGTAATCCCAGCACTTTGGGAGGCCGAGGCAGGTGAATCACTTGAGGTCAGGAGTTCGAGACCAGCATGGCCAACATGGCGAAACCCCGTCTCTACTAAAAATACAAAAATTAGCCAAGCGTGGTGGCAGGTGCTTGTAATTCCAGCTACTGGGGAGGCTGAGGCAGGAGAATCGCTTGAACCTGGGAGGCAGAGGTTGCAGTGAGCGGAGATCGTGCCACTGCCGTCCAGCCTGGGCAATAAGAGCAAGGCTCCATCTCAAAAAAAAAAAAAAAAAAAAAAGAAAAATTTAGTCATGCTCACCAATCTATGGTTTCCAAAATAAATCTTTATCTTCCCTTTACATAGCAAAATAACATTTTTTCCCTTTGTCATTTTCTATCATCTCTCAACTTCTCTGTGATTCATTAATGATCACCAGTAGTAAGTATCGAATTACACATATAAAGAACCTTTAGTACCAGGCTGTAATTTTTCTCCATGTGGAGAATGAAATTTGCTTAAAATGACTGGAAGAGCTGGGGGCAGTGGCTCACACCTGTAATCCCAGCACTTTGGGAGGCCAAGGCAGGAAGATTGCTTGAGCTCAGGAGTTCGAGACCAGCCTGGGCAACATGGTGAGACTTTGTCTGTACAAAAAATTTTTAAATTAGCTGGGCATGGCAGTGTGTGCCTGTGGTCCCAGCTACTTGGAAGGCTGAGGTGGGAGGATGGCTTGAGGGGGAGGATGAGTCTGCAGTGAATCATGTTTGTGCCACTGCACTCCAGCCTGGGCAACAGGGCAAGACTCTGTCTCAAAACAAGCAAACAAAAACAAAAAAACAAAAAAAATAACGACTCCACACAGTCGCGTTTCCATTGCCTCCTTTATGGCTAGATGTTTCCAATATGAAGATCATTGTCTTTGAAAAGGAAGTCATAGACAGAAGAAAAAAGGAGCTGTTCTGATTTCCCCACCCTCAGGGAACAATATGCCATCTGCTCCAAACAGTGAGCATCATATCCCTTTCTTGTTTTTGTTTAAAACATGGCTATCAAAAAACATTGGAGGTTCTTGTATCCTTTAGCTTTTTTCCTACAATCTTCTTACAACTTCACAGCCATTGATTTGCACACATTTTTTTAACACACACTTTATCTTTCCACCTACCCTTTCTGAATCTGATATCATGCAGTCATGCTAATTTGAAAGATGCTTTCCTATTTTTTCTTTTGCATTTATATCATCAGAATTTCCTTTAAAAAATATTACAACCTGGTGGAGACTTAAATAGACACACGTTTTCCAAATGGATAAGGAGGAGGTTTTAAAATGATAACCATGATATAGTTAACTTTTAAAAAAAATTATTACCTCAAAGTCTAAAGACTCTAAAGTGCTTTATAAAAGAGATAGTGGGCTGGGCACTGTGGCTTATGCCTGTAATCCCAGCACTTTCGGAGGCCGAGACGGGCGGATCACGAGGTCAGGAGATCGAGACCATCCTGGCTACACGGGGAAACCCCGTCTCTACTAAAAATACAAAAAATTAGCTGGGTGTGGTGGCGGGCGCCTGTAGTCCCAGCTACTCGGGAGGCTGAGGCAGGAGAATGGCGTGAACCCGAGAAGCGGAGCTTGCAGTGAGCTGAGATCACGCCACTGCACTCCAGCCTGGGCGACAGAGCGAGACTCCGTCAAAAAAATAAATAAATAAAAATAAATAAAATAAAATAAAAGCTAGTGCACATTTTTGTTATGGTGAAAGTCATGTGAATATTTGCATTACATGTGATCATACCCAAAAACTCTATAAGGGTCATCTAGAGACTAGATACTCATGCATATCTCCTGGGGCTGATTTAGGCACCATGAGATAGTTGATAACACCTGTACAGAATGCTGTGGCATGCCACCCAGGCCCTCTACTTTCATCCTGCCAGCTACTGGGAGTTTTGTCTGCTGATGGCCCACACTGGATCCTTCCCACACAGGTGTCCTCTGTGAAAGGAACTGTCTCTTCCAAGGTGACACCTTGTATTGGTGTCACACTACTATAAAGAACTGCCTGAGACTGGGTAATTTATAAAGGAAAGAGGTTTAATTGACTCACAGTTCCACCTGAGTGGGGAGGCCTCAGGAAACTTACAGTCGTGGCGGAAGGCAAAGGGAAAGCTGGCACATCTTCTAACAGGGCAGCAGGAGAGAGCAAAGGGGGAAGTGCCCACACTTTTAAACCATCAGATCTCATGAGAACTCAGTCATGAGAACAGAACACGAGAACAGCAAGGGTGAAATCGCGAGAACAGCAAGGGGGAAATCCAGCCCCATGATCCAATCACATCCCACCAGGCTCCTCCCCTGATACATGGGGATGACAATTTGACAAGAGATTTGGGTGGAGACACAGAGCCAAAACATATCACAGCTCCTGAGAGGCAGCCACGTCATGACTGACTGATGCCTAGCCCCTTACCTGGGGTAGAACACAACTGGGAAAGGCCATGCCAGCCTCAAGCCCCCTGTGGAACTGGCTGAGTCCTCTGTTGCAACTGCATTAGGATCTATCTGTCTTCTCCTGCTGCTTAGTCCTGTTTCCCTCATGGGCATTGTTCCTGAGAGCACTTCCTAATAAGTGTCCTATATACAAATCTGTATCCCAGAGTGTGTTGCCCAGGAAATCCAATTTACAGCAGTCCGTAATACAAAAGAAATTGTATAGTATGTAGTTTAATTGACCTGTGCTTCTAACAGGCATGCAAAAAAATTGTGTGTATAAATTGCCCAATTAACTAGCCCTGAATGAGTGAGATCTTAGAATTAAAAGGATTCATACAAATTAGAACAAGTCTTAAACTTAATTTTTTTTTAAGACTGGGTCTTGCTTTGTTGCTCAGGCTAGAGTGTAGTGGTGTAATCACAGCTCACTGCTGCCTCAACCTCCTGGGATCAAGGGATCCTCCTGCCTCAGCCTCCCCACTAGCTGGGACTACAGGAGTGTGTCACCGTGCCCTTCTAATTTAAAAAAAAAATTGTTGTAGAGATGGGGTTTTAGTATGGTATCCAGGCTGGTCTCAAACTCCTGAGCTCCAGTCATCCTCCCTCTTTGGCTTCACAAAGTACTGGGATAATAGGCAGGTGCCACTGTGCCCGGCCTTCAATTTTATTTCCTTTTGATGACGATATTTTCCATGGGTACGCAGCCATCAAAGTATAAAGGAAACAAGTAGAGAAGAATAAAGATTCTGCAAGTGTTTGCTTTATACAGCCCTTTTCAGAATTTATTATAGACTATACTATAGATTTTATTTATTATAATATAGAATTTATAATTTCATACATAAAGATAACTTCAATCCTAAATCTGCATCAATAAAGGAGAACACCTAACAATGATCTCTTTCACTTTTAATCAAGAGAACAATCTTTAAGCCAATAGAAACAGTCTTTAATCACGCTAAAAGAGAAAAAAACTGAATATTGAAGAGCAAAATAAATTTAAAAATCTTTAGGGAAAAGCTTACATTTGAAAGAGTCAACTGTTCTAAAACGTTTGTGAAATACCATTTTCAATGTCCAAAATAATGAATTTATTCCCTGGTCCACATTTTTGCCTGAAGCACCTCCCCCCTCCCACAAGTAATTAAGAGTTATTTTATGGGACAAGAGTTAGCCAGTCAGATCCAATTACTGTGAATCAGAAAGACAAAATTTATATATCCTTTTCTGTCCTCCCATAATTCTGATCTTCTCTTTACCAAATGTTAGCCAACAGCTACTTTAATCATAAGCCTGATAATGTACTACTTCATGGCAAATAGACCTTAATAATTCTACTCCTCTCTCGCTGCCAATCCTGTACTGAACAGTGAGAATACATTGACATTGTCAAGGTTCAAGACACATTGATTAATCAGGTAATACACATTCTAAACACTTAGTGAAACGGACTGTAAAAAAACTATTTTACTGACTCTGAGGGGCAACAATTTGTCTTCTTCTACTTTAATGACGATGCTGTGTCTATGTCTTTACAGTCAATGGTACTTAAAATTACCTGGAATGACTGGGTTTCACTGATTGAGTATCACTTAAAAGCCAACTGAATTTTGCTAAAATTTCCAAAATTAAACAAGAAATACTGAACAATTTTCAGCATGCTAAGAGATAGAGAAGCGAATGATAGAAAGGATAGAAATTATTGAACAATACGTTCTAGATAGGATGATGCACAAGGCTAATTTCACTTTGAATACAGCCAAGTGGAAAATGATGAAAATCCCGTTCAATGTAACAGAAAATAAATGTGCATGGGTGCAATTTTAATAGAATAGTACTGCCATTCATTTGGCTGCACCGGAGCCAAGGAGACACTCAGGGAGTGCTTGGTAACAAAAAATATGGACCTGATAAATTATGCAGCCAAATTAGCAAGTAATTAGACAGAAGCATTGAAACTGCACCAGAAACAGCAGCTATCCCAGAAATTCCAAACACGTACTAAAACAAATAAGTGGAAGCTTGTGAAATTCACTATATTTACAATTGCGCACTTCTGTTCTCGAAATCCTAATAATTAATTTCCTTGGGGGAAACTTCTGGAATCCCCCAGAGTTGGTTTCCTTGTCATCTGTTTTCGTAGCATCTTATTTTCATTTCCTGCACATAACTTAATATTCCTGGGATTCAGTAATTTGTGTTTCCCTCCTCCAACTAGCTCCATGAGTCTAGAGACCTCATGTCTGTTTGGTTCTTTGCATGCCTAGCACAGTGTGGGTTTACATTACAGGTGCTCCAAATATACTTTTTAATAAATTAATAATCTTCTCACACACTAGCAGTTCTCTTCACTTTCCAGGCTTTTCTGGGTTGTTACTTGCATTGTCTCTAGATGCTCTTCCTTTCTCTTCCACTACCACTCTGATGAGAATACAATAGCAGACAGCATCCCTAGAACAACACGACATCTACAGAAAAGGGGCATGCCCCTCCCACCCCTTTGTACTCTGCACACCAAAATAGATCACTTGTTCCAGTGCAGTCAGGCATCCCTGATGGGCCCCAAAATACATAGGCAATAATCTCACAGGAATCTTACATCTCTGTCTGAAATCATCTTCAGAACCACACAATATATATCTTACTAGGTGCTCTGTAGATAACTAAAGTGATGCAGAAACCACACATGTTCATCCAGTACCTACCACGTGACAGTTATTGCAAAATTATCCCACATCAAGGACAGACAGATAGCAAATCTCCCTTGAATCCTTCTGTCCAGCTATGGTCATGCTCACACTTTCTAACTTTCTGCCTGCAGCAACATTCTCTCCATCACCCCACCTGATGCCTTAACTGCCTTACCTTTGACCTCTATAACATTATTTCCAAATTCTTTTTTTTTTTTTTTTGAGATGGAGTCTCATTCTGTTGCCCAGGCTGGAGTGCAGTGGTGCAATCTCAGCTCACTGCAGCCTCCTCCTCCCAGGTTCAAGCAATTCTCGTGCTTCAGCTTCCTGAGTAGCTGGAATTACAGGTGCACACCACCATGCCCAGCTAATTTTTGTATATTTAGTAGGACTGAGGTTTCCACATTTTGCACAGGCTGGTCTCGAGCTCCTGACCTCAGGTGATCCACCTGCCTCGGCCTCCCAAAGTGCTGGGATTACAGGTGTGAGCCACCGTTCCTGGCCTATTTCCAAGTTCTGTTGTTGCATCATTGTCATTGTAACAGACACCATATTTCAATCCTGCCTGTGCCCCCACACAGTGTGTGTGTGAGTATATGAGTGTGAGTATAAGCCTGCCATCTATTAATGTATTCATTTAAAGATTGTGCTCTGATTGTCAGTGATAAAAGACAAACCGTATTTTCATTTTACAGGATATTTCGACAGGTCTAATATGAGATTTCTTCTCACTCCATTTATTCATACTTATTTCATTATCTCCCTGTTTTACTTGCAGCTGTGCCCATCAACCACTAATTATTTTTCTTTTAGGAAGAAATAATACATAACATCATAAATTTTTTTTTTTTTTTTTGAAACAGAGTCTCGGTCACCCAGGCTGGAGTGCAGTGGCACAATCTCGGCTCACTGCAACTTCTGCCTCCCAGGTTCAAGCGATTCTCATGCCTCAGCCTCCTGAGTAGCTGGGATTACAGGCACAAGCCACCATACATGGCTAATTTTTGTATTTTTTAGTAGAGACGGGGTTTCTCCATGTTGGCCAGGCTGGTCTTAAACTTCTGGCCTCAAGTGATTCTCCCGCCTCAGCCTCCCAAAATGCTGGGATTCAGGCATGAGCCACCACGCCCAGCCACCCGTCAATGTTAACTCTAAAAAAATTGCTTCATCTTACCACCAGCTATTTGGGACTCAACATTGGAATAATAACCTAGGAATATTCTATAAAGTGAAATGACTTTCAGAAATTACAAACATATACGTATATTTTATATATATATTTATTTACATATACACACATCTCGAGTGGCAGGATACATGTATACCTATAGTTGTCTCAATGTGGGTTGTCCCAAAAGCAGACCACAAGACAAGGACTGAAATATAAGCCAGGCATGGGTGGCTCACACCTGTAATTCCAGCGCTCTGGGAGGCCGAGGAGGCTGAATCACCTGAGATCAAGAGTTCAAGACCAGCCTGACCAACGTGATGAAACCCCGTCTCTACTTAGAATATAAAAATTAGCTAGGCATGGTGGTGCGCCTGTAATCCCAGCTACTTGAGAGGCTGAGGTGGGAGAAATGCTTGAAACTGTGAGGCGGAGGCTGCAGTGGGCTGAGATCATGCCACTGCACTCCGGCCTAGGCAGCAGAGTGGGACCCTGTCAAAAGAAAGAGGAAAGAACGAAAGGAAGGAAGGAAGGAGAAAGAAAGAGAAAGGAAGAAAGAAAGAAAGAGAGGAAGAAAGGAGGGAGGGAGGGAGGAAGGGAAGAAAGAAAAAGAAGGAAGGAAGGAAAGGTAGGAAGGAGGAAGGAAGGGAAGGAAGGAAGGAGGAAGGAAGGGAAGGAAGGAAGGGAGAGAAAGAAAGAAAGAAATGTAAGTAGGTTGTTTAGGAGATAATTGCAGGTAAAATGGGAGGGAAGCGGGAAGGTGGAGATACGGTGGTATAAGGCCTAAAATTAAGATCCAATATTATGCATGCTTTGACATCTGGGAAAAACTGTGAGGGCCTCAAATGCCCTAACTGCAAGTTCCCATCCCCACTCTTTTTCCACAGATAAGGTACCCTAGCCAAGCCATCCTCCTTATCACAGGAACCAGTCACGGTTCCTGCTTATCTCTGAGTAGTGGGGTTCAGTTGCCTGCCACCCCATAGCATTATTCAAACGAGACAGTCACATCCTCCCACAGGCACTAGAGGAAGCTCCACCCTGCTGATACTACAAAGCCAGCCTCCCACAGCCCCTGCTTCTTCACTCTGTTCCCAAGTGCTGGTGACCCTGTGTGGCACGCGATGTCCTCTTCTGCCCTGCTGTGAACATGTGGGACTAATACATTGCCATCCATCTCCTTATCTAGTGCTGGGTGTCATGTGTCTAGGTATCCCCATAATCCTGGGGTGAGAATCTCCCTTTACCAATGGGGTGACTAGGAGGCAATTAAAACAGATACATAAGGAAATGCATGTCATAAAATGCATGCTATCTAGCAAGTTTTTACATGGCTAACTGAGAAACTGCAGCAAAAAACGGTGTGGAGAGTTCTGGGAGCCAGTGAGAACCAGCTTCAGAGATACCCAAGTGGGAAAAAGAGCTGGCGTTTTTAAAAGCCAACACTTGTCAGTCATTAATTGAAGGCTGCTCCCAGGGACATTAATTCTCCCACATCTCAAGGAAAGTGGTTCAGCCAGCCAGAGAAAGCCCTCAAGCAAAGAAATGTTCAGGCTGGCAGGTGGAAGTTGACTTGCAAGCACTTTCGTTGTAAGACCTGAGGGGCTACGGGCTGAGCCTGGCTGCTACAATGTAAAAGCGTGGTGGTCTTTTAGACCAAAATCCTGTCCCTTCTTGATATTTTCCACAAAATTCATGGATCTACTGGCAGAAAGACTTCATCTTTTGGTACAGAAAAAGTTCTATGCACGGGGCCAGGCGCAGTGGCTCACGCCTCTAATCCCAGCACTTTGGGAGGCAGAGGTGGGTGGATCACTTGAGGCCAGGAGTTCAAGACTAGCCTGGCCAACATGGTGAAACCCTGTCTGTCCTAAAAATACCAAAATTAGCCAGGCATGGTGGTGTGCACCTGTAGTCCCAGCTACTTGGGAGGTTGAGACAGGAGAATAATAGCTTGAACCCGGAGGCGGAGGTTGCAATGAGCTGAGATCGCACCACTGCCCTCCAGCCTGGGAGACAGAGCAAGACTGTGTCTGAAAAAAAAAAAAAAAGTTCTGTGCATGAAAGGGGGAAAGGGGGATAAAGAAAAAACAGAGAAAAATGTTCAATGCCACGGTCTGATGATCAAAGATACTGCTAATACCTCCAGCATTGAGGAATGAGAGTTCTCAGATGTTAGCATGTATCAAAGTCATTAGGAGGGACTGGGTTTCAACTGGAGGGTCTCTCATTAAGTCTTCTGGGGTGAGATCTGAGAATCTGTATTTCTAAGGAGTTCCCTGGTGCTGCCAATGCTGCTGGCCTGGGGACCACACTTGGCTCTAGGCCAAGGTTCTACAACCAAAGGTTTTCAGATGTAGAGCGATGGAGACCTGATGGAGACCTGGGATGGGGATGTGACAGAGTCAGAATGATTCCAGAAGAGGCCTCTTCAAAGTGCGCTGCACCATCACAGCATGAGCCGAAGCCATAGAACAATCAGCAGCTTTGTCTTTGCTGCCTCACAGTTACAGAGGAGAAGGTGATGGGATTTCCTTTCTATAGATCAAGGTCACGGAGACAGTCAAGTGAAAACAAGAACTTGAGGATGGCAGCTGAATGTGAATTCAGCCAAAGTCCTGATATACATGGACATTCTTCTCCAGGGACAGTATGACAAGGGGTTTCCAAAAAAGACAATATTGAGAACTGAAGTCAGACTCAGTCTCACAGAGGCAATCATTGGACACTTGCCTGTTGATAAGGCGATGCCTTGCACTTCGTCCTTTATTCCTGAAGGAGCAGGAGCAATGGCCTATCAGAAATGGCCAGGTATCTTGGATTCATGGAAACACACTTGCTGATGAAAAGAGGACAGCCCTGACTAGCACTTTCTCTTTTTGCCTCTGAGTTTGAGTAGGCAAGAAGTACACAAGAGTCCTTCTATTTGTATGAAGAAAAAGAAACAAGATCATCGTGTTTATTGTCAGAGCATTTTGAGACATTGTTTTGACTTCATTTTAAGCCCTGTTAACTTTTAGTCTTATCTCTAGCAGATTTCCTCACTAAAGTGAGTGACCAAATCTCCCTCAATGCCCATTTCTTTAAATGCTATCGCATAAAACCTGGAACATGTATTCCATAGGTTGCTTTGATGATAAGCAGATAATATGTGCCAAGCACCCAGCTGGGTGTGTCCTGGTGCAGCCGCCATCGGCCCTTCCCCTCCCCTCCCCACACTCTGGCCCTCCTTAGTTGTCTTGCTGATGGCTTCCTGTCTGTAGAGCACATTACAAACCCTAATACTTTCATTCATTCACTGATGTAGCAAATGCTTATTTTTATTTGATATATGACCCTCCATAAATGCTGGAGATACAAAAATGATGGGTAGTCCCTGCTGTTGCATTGTTCTCAATCTACCCTAGAAGTGGGCAAATAAAGTCAGTCGACACTGGCGTCATACTGACCTATGTGGAGAAACACACAGGGAGAAAGTTACAGAGAGGAGAGGCCGTTGGAAGGGCTTCCCGAGGAAAGCAGCCGCTGAGCTGTGTCTCCAGGGAGGAGCTAAGCAGCCGGCTAGGTAGAAGAGGAGGCGGCCAAGCAGAAGGAACAGCAAGTAAAAGGGCGCAGAGGCCAGACAGAAGAATGTGTCTGAATTGATAGAAAAGGGGACAGGAAGGTGAAGAGCAGTGCCAAGAAGCAGAGGACAGCCACAGAGCTGGCATCGTGTGATGCGGAAGGCATGGTCAAATTCGAGGAAGCAAGTAATACAAGGATAGATGCCTGTTGGCTATGTTGCCGACCATCTCGGCAGAAAGCCTGCTGGGAGAACAGTAGGTGGGGCAGAAGTCAGTCCATGATAACCTGAGATATGAATGGGGGTTGAACGCTGTCAACATGTTATGTGGCTTTTGTGGCCTGAGCTGCACCGCCACACCCCCTTCCTGTTGTGTGTGGGGATTCATGATGATATTAGTAGCACATACAGTAAGCGGGATCTGGGGCTTCATTTAACATCTTGTGTTTCGTTCTGTAGTGCCCCCTCCTCCTGTTGGTTTATATCTAGTATTAGTAGATATATCTCTTTAAAACTTGGTTTCATATTTTGGACTACATCAATTACCCTTACAATTTATGATCGCTTATTCATTTATACTGCCAGTTTTTCACTTTAGGGATATAATAGATCATCACCACGACTAACCCCACCACCAGCACCCCCACATACTCCTCAGTACTTTTTCTACCTTTTATTTCTATTTTTCTTTTCTGTTTTCGAGGCAGGGTGTCACTCTGTTGCCCAGGCTGGAGTGCAGTGGCATGAATTCAGCTTTTCTTTTACTTGCTGTTCCTTCTGCTTGGCCGCCTCTTCCTCCACCTGGATGGTTGCTTAGCTCGTCCCCGGAGACACAGCTCAGCGGCTGCTTTTCTCGGGAAGCCCTTCCAACTGCCTCTCCTCCCTTTCACTTTCTCCCTGTGTGTTTCTCCCTGTGTGCCCATGAAATCTTCAACTCCCACCTCCCGGGCTCAGGTGATCCTGTCACCTCACCCTCCTGAGAATACCTGGGACTACAGGTGCATGCCACCGTGCTCAGCTAATTTTTGTATCTTGTGTAGAGATGGGGTCTCACTATGTTGCCCAGGCTGGTCTTGAACTCCTAGGCTCAAGCGATCTGACCGCCTCAGCCTCCCAGAGTGTCAGGATTACAGGCGTGAGCCACAATGCCTGGCCTTACTTTTTCAACTTCTATTTGTACTTCACGTTTTACCATTTGGAGCTTCATTTAGCATCTGGTACCTTCTTCTATAGCATCTCTTCTCTTCCAAATATTTATATTCTTTGTTAAAATTTTTTTATTTCAATAGTTTTTGGGGTACAAGTGTTTTTTTGTTACATGGATGAATTGTACAGTGGTGAATTCTGAGATTTTAGTGCACCCATCGCCGGAGCAGTGTACATTGTACCTATGTGTAGTTTTTTGATCCCTAGCCCTCCTCCCATCTTCCCCTTTCTGAGTCTCTAAAGACCATTATATGCACCCTGTATGCCTCTGCATACTCATAGCTTAGCTCCCATTTATAAGTGAGGATATACAGTTTTTGATTTTCTACTCCTGTGTTACTTCATTAAGAATAATGGCCGCCAGCTCCATCCAGGTTGCTGCAAAAGACATTATTTTGTTTCTTCTTATGGCTGGGTAGTATTCCATGGTGTATATACACCACATCTTCTTTATCAACTCATTGGATGGGCACTTACGTCAGTTCCACATCTTTGCAATTGTGAATTGTGCTACTATAAACGTGTGTGCATGTGTATTTTTCATATAGATTTCTTTTCCTTTGGCTAGATACCTGATAGTGGGATTGCTGGATTGAATGGTAGATCCACTTTTAGTGGAATCTTCACGCTGTTTTCCATAAAAGCTGTACTAATTTGCATTCCCACCAGCAGTGTCTAAGTGTTCCCTTTTCCCCATCCTCGCCAACATCTGTTGTTTTTGACTTTTTAATAATGTCCATTTTTTTTGCCAGAGTAAGGTGGTATCTCACTGTGGTTTTAATTTGCATTTCCCTGATGATTAGTGGTGTCAAGCATTTTTTCCTATGTTTGTTGGCCATTTGTATATCTTCTTTTGAGAACTGTCTATTCATGTCCTTTGCTCACTTTTTGATGGGATTATTTTTCTCTTGCTGATTTGTTTGAGTTCCTCGTAGATTCTGGATTCTAGCCCTTTGACAGATGCATAGTTTGCAAATATTTTCTCCCATTCTGTGGGTTGTCTATTTGCTCTGCTGATTATTCCTTTTATGTTCTTATTAAGGTTACGTGAAAGACTTGCTCAGTGTGATCTGGGGCTCCCTCTTGTGGCAGACAGTGGCCCAAAGCCATTCCCAAACCCCTTTCCTTTCCCTGCCTTCAATACACAGGCACCAAGCGAGACATTTATATTTCTAGACTTCCAGAAGCCAAGGCTGAGCATGTGACACTTATGGCTAAAAAGATTTAGGCAGAAATCTTTGAGTAGGGATTTCCTTTTCAACTACAAAGGCAAAGCCTCATTAGGAAGAAGCCCTTTGCTCTCGTCCTTTTTTCTCTTCTCAACTGTGATGCAGACTGCCCCAAGGGCTGCCACCTTTGGCCGACATGAGGATGAGAACTAGCCGCTGAGGATGGCTGGAAGTCACCTGAGGATCAGGTAGCTCCCACCCCGAGATGGAGGGTAAGGGAAAGAAAGTCAGGGCAGGTCTTTTGAACCACATTTGTAACATTTATATAAAAGAAATTTCTTCACAGTGCTGTTTTAAAAGTATTTTAAGCACATCATTTCAAAGTGTGACCGGAATAATGATATACCAATTTGAAAGCAGTTATTTTAGTGAATAAAAGTTTCGTTTTAAGGGGGGGGAAAGGGTGTGACTGTAATATAGATTTATTTGGATTTCTGAAAAATATAGCCCGCCTGGGCTATGGTAGAAAAAGCATAAACTGTTAGAACAACAACGCAGAGCCCGCTGGAAAAACAAGGAAAGAATTCAGAAAGCCAGCGTGAGATCCTCTCTGTCCTAAAAACAACCCTGCGGGAAGGCGTCCTGGGTTCAAGTCCCAAGTTGTATACTTACTAACTGTGTGACCTTAGGCAAATCACTGCAATTTCTCTGTGCCTCATGGTCTTCGTTTGGAAAAAAAAAAAAAAAAAGGAATTTGCCCAACAAATAGTCAGTTTCTACTATATGCCATTATTATTCCAGGCACAACAGTAAATGAAACAGACAAACATCTCTGTCCACATGGAGCTCGCTGCCTAGTAGGAGGAGATAGATAAGAACAAGTACTGTGAAATATATGTGGTGTCATATGGTGAAAAGTGGTACAGGAAAAAATAGGGCAAAGAAAGAGGAAGCGGAAAGTAGGGATAGGAGTGGAGGCTGAAGGGAGAGACAGCCGGAAGCCGGAAGCCGAAAACCGGAAGCAAGAAGTAGACTAGGTGGGTATCTGGGGGATGCTCATGAAAGACCCTTAGTCCAGGAAGAGAACACTGTTGGAGACAAGGCGCCAGAGCATACTATGTTCTAGAAATAACTGGAAGTTCCATGCAGCTGGAACACAGTGAGCAAGTAGAATTGAAAGAGATGAAGTCAGAGAAGCAGTGGGGACCAGATTTTTTAATGACTCACCAGCCTCGGAAAGGACTTCAGCTTTCACTGAGTGAACTGAGGAGTCACTGGAGGAGAGGACAGGATGGAGTTTGTATTTAAAAGGACCACTTAGTGTGCTGTTTTGAGAATAGATTCTGGAAGGGGACACTAGTTCTGAGGCAATTACAACAATCCGGGCAGACAGGAGGAGAAGGTCCTTTTCCACCCCACGCATTTGCCGTGATGTAATGCGTACGAATGTGAATTTCAAGAGACTACCTGCGTTTATGATACATTATTATTGCCAGTTTATGACCTTTATGCTAAAAACATGCTAGCAGGAAAAAATATAGCCAACAAATGCAGTTGCATATGAGTTCACAGACAATGATAAACACACTTTTCAGCTTTTCAAAGAGTTGACACCAAATTGGTGTCTGATTTAGATCCTGCTTAATGGCTCAAGGAAACAGATGAGTGAGACCTGTTAAAGCAAACTAAATATGGCCTGAGGACTCCGTACTTCTATATTTGGGTCCTTGTGGACGAACTGTAACCTAGCTTAATAGTCAGACAAGATTGAAAAGCTAACTTAGAAGTATGTGCCTATAACAATAGCTGAGTTTTGGCCAATCCCAGCGGCCATACTTCAACGACTCATAGACTGCTAAGTGTTCAAACTGTGTTCAAATAAGACAAACGCCAACCTGTAACCAACCCAGCTGTTTCTGTACCTCACTGCCAATTTCTATGTGTCACTTCCTTATTTATTTATTTATTTATTTGTCTATAAATTCACTCTGACAATGAGGCATCCCTGGAGTCTCTCTGAATCTGCCGTGATTCTGGGAGCTGCCCAATTCATGAATCGTTTGTTGCTCAATTAAACTCCTTTAAATTTAATTTGGCTGAAGTTTCTCTATTAACAGACCAATGACAGGTCACATCCCAACTTCTCTGGCTTCTTTATATGACTCAGGAACATTTTAAATCTGGGGGAAAAAAAATAACCTGTACCTTTCCTCAACAGGACAATAACACATTTTTATATCAGCTTGTTAAACACACGTGACACATCTATATCAAGTTGTTACACACACACCCTTGCTTAAATAATTGTTAAACACCTGTGGTCCAAAAAAATAATCACAGGGCATCACTAATTTATTTGCCAGATTAAAGATGTAAGATAGAGCTTTAATATCCAACCGTTGGTAATCACGGAAATTCCAATTAAAACAAAGAGATACCATTTTCGCCCATCAAGCTAACAAAAATATAAACATAATAATACTTAATGTTCATGATAGACCCCAACTGATCAGAAACAGATGCTGGGTCCATGGTAGGCACTTCCCCAGTGTAGACAGCCACTCAACCAGGTATCCACCTCTGGAGTCCCTGGAAGGAGGGCCAGGGGCTGGGGACAGAGCACCTGGGACTCAGGGATGCAGCCCTCTCAGCACTTTAATAACTGGTATGGCCATCCTGGCTTGAATATCAGCTCTGCCTCACTGTAGCCCCAGTAATCTCTCCAAATTACAGACTTCATCAGGTCATTCACCTGAAAAGCCTTCAGTAGAGTCTCAAAACCTGTGAGATAATGCCTGAATTATTTAGCAAGGAGTGCCCCTTTGTTTTCTAGCCCCCCTATCTACTTTTCCAGCCTCACATTCACCTGTCCTCAACACATATCCTGGGACCCAGCCATCCCGAGGGATTTTTCAGCTTCACAAACCCATCTTGTTCTTATATCCTTAAGCCTTTAGATGTGGTGCAAATGTCTTCTTCCCTGCTTGCCTGCTCAAGGAATTTCTACTTATCCTTCCAAGACTCAAAACAGGCACTTGTACCTGTTTAGCCTCCCCTGGCTTCTCTCCCCTGGGCTACCCCCTCTTCATGCCTAGACATATCTCAAGGACAGCATTTATGCAGAATGGTCATTACACATGCTGCTTCCCACTCTCTAGATGGGGGACTCCTTGGGAGCAGGGACAGATGCTTTCTTGGGACTATGTCCACAGATTCTGAAACTCCGGCTGACCAGGGC